>NC_000010.11:107264307-107567337 GCF_000001405.40 Homo sapiens
ACCTATTCGGCGTTAAGTTCAGAGGTCTTAACTTCCAGACAGCCAGGACGCAACTAAATTACAAACTGTAACTGTCACCCAAACGTTTTTAGTGCCTCAACCCATCAGATGATGAAAGGGGTCATGGGCTGTGATCACCAGGAAGATCTAAGGCTACCGTTATCAAATGGGTCAGGAAAGCTTATGTTTGGCCCCTAAACGATCTGCATGGGTGTCTCTTGGGCAGCATCGGTGGCAAATGAACGAAAGCATCGACTTCATCCAGAGAAAGGCCTGCTAACTTAACTGGGAATGAGGGTCTGTGTCACGCCACCAGGAAGTTAACCTGTATCAGCAGAGGCCCTGGGATAGAGGGAATATAAAATCGATGGTAGAAAAAGAAAATAAGTTATCTGTCTAGGCCTAGAAACCAGCTGTGGTAGTGAGGGTTCTAATTAATATTACACATCTTCTCCTTATACATTTCATCCAAGAAAAGAAAAAAAAGGAAAAAAAAAAAAAAAAAAAGAAAAGGTAGCCTGCCAGAATCCTGAAAAATCTCCTCCCAGAACTAATATAAGTAGATCAAAGCGCCCCCAAGAGGCAGATTGTAGCAGACACAGTGTCCCATTGCCCACACCTAATCCCTTTAGGATTAGCACACCCATTGTCTCAGCTGCTGGTAGGTAGATAGCCAATAACTCAAAACCTCGTTGCCCTTCTTAGCATTCGCACTTGGGTGAAGAGAGCCATTTGTCCTAGATTAGGCAGGCCTCATCAGTGAGCGGGAGATAAGAGGGTAGAACGGCTTGGAGGATCAGCGGAGGACTTTGTTGTCACTGTACAGCAGCCAAATTGATTCCTATGCCCATCCTGCTTCCTTTAATCCCCAAAGGTGTTGATTCCGACAGTAACCCTCTGTGTTCCTCCTGTATACATCCTAGGAAGCTAAACTGTGACCTTTTCTCTGTCCCGTGCCTTTCATGCTTTGCTGTAGTTTTGTACTTAACACCTGGGATAATTATTCGTCAGCTTTAGTATGTTTTGTAGGCAGATATATGGGCAATAGATTGTTCCCAATTAATTAATCTGAAAATGCCTATACGTTGCTGTAAATTGTGAGACACAGTCTCTCAGGGATAAAATTCTAGAACTGCACTTTTTTTTTCTTCTTTTAGCACTTTAAACAGATCCTTTACTTTGCTTTTTGTTTTTAATTACTCACATGATTAAATCAGCCCGAAGGCTATTATTGTTTTCTTGAAGGTAATACATCCTCCACCCAACTCCCCCTACTTCTGAATGCTCTTATCATTTCGTTGCTTTTTTAATTGTTTACATGTGATTTGCTTAGGTAGAGCTTTCTTTGTAATTTTTCCTCCTTGGGATTCTTAAATATGATTGCATCTTGTCAGTTAAAAATGGTTAGTATTTCTTCAAATTTTTCCTTCTGAAATGTCTTACTTCGTGCCTTGTATATCTTTTAAACATATCTCATGAGTTTTTTATAATCTTCATTTTTCTATTTTCTATCATTTTTGGTCTCTGCCTCAAATTTAGATATTTTCTACAGGCTTTCTGCTATTTCAAATCTGACATTATATATACCCAATACTTAATTTTAGTGATTGAATTTTTCATTTCTAAAATTTTTGTTTTGACACATTTTCATGTATTAAGTCTTTGTTGAGAATTTCCCTCCCTTCCTCTATTTTTGAATATATGAATTATAATTATTTTAAAGTTCCTGTCTGGAAAGTCTAACTTTTTTTTGAATTTTCCTCTTTTTTTTTTTTACCCCATTTATTTGGTGGGTGGCACTTAGTCTTTGTTTTTTCCGTATATTACAATTTATTGATTGAATGATGGACTTCTAAATGAAATGAAGTTGGGAATCTTGATGATGCTTTCTTTCTGCAAAGATGCTTAAATTTTGTCAGGCAAGTCATGTTGCAGCAAGTAAGCTTTATCCTCTCAAGAATGGTTCTAGGTTTTACTGATCTATTTCAGTTTTGTGTTTAATTCTAGATAATGGTCTTGACTCCTAAAGCTAAGACTTTTTGGGATATCGAAGAGATCCCAGGGTGTTTATTAAGGCCCTTCTTGGCAATATTTGAAATCCAATTTTCATCTCCTCAGCACTGAATGACTGCTGGTATCTCTGCTCCTTAGATTATATTTTGTGCTGTGTTTCGTGGAGTTTTCCCAGTGCATGAAGAATATGGGGATACTCAATGAGAATAAAAATGAGAATATTTGTATGGAGATTTTGGGACTTCTTTCTATGTGATTCTCTCTCTTCCAAGACTTTGTCTCTCATAATTCTGCTGTCTGGTGGTTCTGGAATTTAATCTCTGACACTTAAGATTCTTAAATCCACTGAAATTGGTATTTAGTACTTGGAGATATGTTCCCTGCACTGCACAGTGGAAAATGCCCTCAGAAAAAAAGTCAAAAGTAATGTGTTGCTCACCTGTGTATTTTCCTTGTCTCTCATATTATGGCCCCTCAGGTACTGTTTGAGTTGGTTGCTCTTCAATGCAAACATATAACCATATGTATCACATATGTATGTATGTGTGTGTATGTGCAGTTGGCCCTCTGTATCTGTGGTTCCATATCCATGGATTCAACTTACTGTGGATTAAAAATATTTTAAAAATATTGCATCTGTACTGAACATGTACAGACTTTTTTCCCCTGTCATTTTCCCCCCAAAAACAAAGTATAACAACTGTTTATATAGCATTTACATTGTCTTGGTTTTATATGTAATCTAGAGACGATTTAAAGTGTGCAGGAAAATGTACAGAGGTTATATGCAGCCATACACCACTTTGTATCAGGGACGTGAGCCTCTGCAGATTCTGGTATCCTTAGGAGGTCCTGGAACCAGTCCTCCACAGATACCAAGGGAGGACTATATTGATAATTTTTTTTAGTGGGAGAGTTCATCTAATCCAATTTATAAGCTGGATCTCTGCCTTTGCTGCTAACTTTATTTGTTTATCTTTTACTTCAATTTGGCTTACACTTCAGTATTCTAAAATTTTTGTTATTCTCTGAACACTGTTTTCTCTTATACCTTTCTTTTTACATATGGTATTTTCTCTTTTTTCAATACTTTTCCTTACCTTATTGACTTTGTAGGGGTTTGCTTGTCCTTTAAGTTAGCACTCAGCCATCTTTTTTTTTTTTTTTTTTTTTTTTTTTTTTTTTAGATGGAATTTTGCTCTTGTTGCCCAGGCTGGAATGCAATGGCGGGATCTCAGCTCCTTGCAATGGCTACCTCCCGGGTTCAGGTGATTCTCCTGCCTCAGCCTCCTGAGTAGCTTGGGATTACAGGCATGTGCCACCATGCCCGGCTAATTTTTGTATTTTTAGTAGAGAGGGGGTTTCACCACGTTGGCCAGGCTGGTCTCAAACTCCTGACCTCAGGTGATCCACCCGCCTTGGCCTCCCAAAGTGCTGGGTTTACAGGTGTGAGCCACTGCGCTCAGCCAACCTGTTTCTTTTCTCCCACCAGGATGAATTGGTTGATTTTCCAATATGATACCTACAATTTCGGTTGACTGCTTCCATAAATAGAGGATTTTCATCCTCTATTATAATCAGATGTTTATTTTTCTGTCTTCTTCTCTAGATTGTGAGTTGTTTTTTTAATTAAGAGTGACTCTTTTGTACGTTTCAGTATCTTCAGAGCCTACTAGTGCTTGACACATGACATGTGCTAGGTCGTTTTGTAGTTGGTTTATCAATGAATATTTTTGCTTCTGTCACTATAGATTTTGTCTTCAAAGAGATTGCTTGAAAGAGGTGACCTTTGAGCCCTATTATTTATTGAAGAGAAGGGCTTGATGAGATGGAAAGTCTCTTCTGTCACTATCAGTCTGGGAATTTCCCAGTAGACAACAGGCAGTAATCCCAGGCTTTCATGTTGGTTGAATTATTTGGACATATTAATTATAGTAAGATTACTTAATCCCAACACCACTTTCCCTCCTTAATTCACATTTCCTCCCTACCTCACCTGTACATCCTTATAAAATGCAACACATTCATTCTACCTTGACTAATACTATTTAGCCTTACATATTTCTCCCTTTCCCCATACTTTGGGAAATTCAATGTATCCTTCAAGGGTCAGGCTATATTTCCTCCATTTCACGAAATTTTCCTAACCACTCCATGCCTCACTGTTTCCTTATGTCTCTGAATATATATCATTAGGCTTTCTGAGATTCATACTATTATTTGCCAATTTTTTTTCTGGGGATTTTATTTTGTCCCCATAATAGATGCTGCTTGAGGAGAGGTAGTAGGGATTTTATCTTCCTCTTATTTTTTCAACACTCAATATATCAGCACATTGGTGAGCTTACAAGGGAATCACAGGAAATATTGCCCAATTAGATGTTTAGTCATATGTCTTTCCTGGCTGGAAATGTTGCAATTATATTTTCTAATAAAATATTACCCCTACTTTAAGCAATATTATCGTAAGAGCTTAGTGACTTTGACCTTATCCAGTTTTCCATACCTTTACCACTATTTTGTTTACTTAGTATTCTTCCTTATATTGACTTTAAATTCTATTCTATCAACACTACTCACCTATGCACATTTAGCCTCATCCCAAATATAAAATCATTAGTTAAATGGCCGACTTAAGCTTTATTTCTTCCTGATATCTGCAAAACGTTATTTTAAATAATTTTTTTCTGTACCACCTAAATTCTCCTGCATGTCACTATGGCTATACTGAACATACGAGGATTAAGGCCGTCTGATCTTCTTTCTACTCTGTCTTCCTGAATTGCAGAAACACATTGTACTGCAATTAGATAACATTCCTGGTGTGAGGCAGCTTGGGTAATTAATCCAAGCTCCACTACTTACCTTTTGTTCCAACCTTGGCTTTTACCTGGTTGGATTAATTTTCATATTATTAGCTTTGAATACAGATTTGCTCTTTCTGTCTTAACTGTTCAGACTGAAAAGTTAGTTTAGTAGTCTGCCTGGCCTTTTAATTGGACTGCTCCTCATTTTGACCATGCATCTCCATCTGCTTCAATTTAGCCCAGTTCTTGTGAATTGTAGTAATGGTTACAAGGTGAAATGGAATCAGACACATGTAGCTAAAGGAAGTCACTAACGATGAAAGCTAGTCATGCACTCTAACTCTGCCAAGCAGTAGCGGAAAGCGTATTCACTTATGCATCAAACCCAGGTCTGTCTGCGAGTGATCCTCAGAAATGCATTTCATTTCCTTAAAGCTCAATTTTCTCCTCTGAGAAAAATGTGTGAATATTAATATGTGCCTGCTGGGGTTTATGTGATGATTAAGTGAGAACAGAAATTAAATGTTCTTATTATTCCTACCAAAAGAAATACTCAATAACTATATGGCATTATTATTATTATTATATTATTATACTTATTGCTATATCAGTACCACTATTTACAATGGGCCCAAATAGCTGGACCAACTCCAGATATTTCATTTCTTGGCAACTTTTAGAGAATTCAGAGTGTTGCCTGCTGTCTCACTCTGGCCTGGCATCTGGGACTCCAGCTCTATTGGCTGCTTGTGGAGGCAGCTGTTTCCTACAAAGGCAAGTCTTTTCTCAGGGAACCATGAAAGCAGAGAAACACAAAACAAAAACTGAAAGAAGTAATTCTGTTTATTATTTTTTCTGAGATGAATATTTGCTAAGAATTAGAAGGCAGGACCCAAGAATATAGGAATTATTCAATGGAAAAAGATATACAGTAGATTAGGAAAACACATATTAGTTTGGGCAGGTGACATGGCAGCACCCTTCCTGTCAGGGAGAAAAGAGAAATGAATGTTGAGTAGTTCACCTTCAAAGGGCAAGTGAGCAGAGGTCTGATTAATTTCTTTATTGAGGCACATTTTTCTCCGGAGAAAAATTCACCATATTCAGAGCATTAATTCCACATCCACCAGTTTGCTACTTTTGCACTTGTCATCCATTAGGCCAGAGTTTGAAGTTTTTGATGGTTATTTATCATTGGCAAAAGGAACCCATCAGCTGCAGGAGAGAGTAAGCTTTTGCCCATGACAGTGGGGTGATAAACATTGCTTGGCCTTTTTGCTAATTTTAATCAACAGTAAGTAGTTGCTGCTTGCTGAAAGCACATGGAGAGGTATTTAAGTGCCCTGGTCCATGGTGGTGGAGGCTGAGTTGATAAGGAAGCCAGGGATCAGACAGCCCGGCAAAGTGACCATGGTGATGATCAGGTGCAGAGTGAATTGTCTTCATCCCAGTGACATAATCCAAGATAGTTTCCATGAGCATTTTCCTGTGCATGAAAATCAATTGCAAGTAGAAAAGAAGCTGTTGCTTCTGGAGATATTGATTAAAACATTGTATTTACATGTAGTTATTTGGCCAGATATCTCAGTCCATTTGGGCTGATGTTACAAAATTCTATGAACAAAGTGGTTTATAAACAACGTAGGTTTATTTCTCACAGTTCTGGAGCGTGAAAAGCCTAAAATCAAAATGCTGGGAGGCTCAGTGCTGGTGAACTTCCTGGTTCATAGGTGGTTGTCTTCTTGCTGTGTTCTCACATGGGAGAAGGAGAAGCAAGCTCCCTGGGGTCTCTTTTATGAGGGTATTAATCCCATTCAAGAGGTCTCTGTCCTCATGACCTAATCACCCTCCAAATATTATTACCACATTGAGGATTAGGCTTTAACATATAAAATGAGGGAGGAACCATATCAACAATCTGTAGCACCAGACATTCATTGAGTACTGGGTTGAGAGGCACTAGGTATTTAGCAATGCGAGTCATCTGGGTTGTTCTTGAGGCTGAGATCTCAAAAACACTCAAAAAGTCAGAGGATATAAGAGAAAGAAGACAATCACATATATCTGTGCTTGAGTTCCAGCTCTACTTCTTATAGCCATGAAATACTGAGCAAATGATTTCCCCTTGCTGAGCTTCAGGTAAAATGGACAAACTAAAGCTCAGAAATGAGAAGTAATTTTTTAAATCGAGTTAATAATAATACCTGCCTCAAGAAGCTGTTTTGAGGATCAAGCGAAAAGGTGTTTGTGAAAGAGCCTGTATTAGTTTATTATTATTTCTGTAAAAAGTTACCACAAACTTGGTGGCTTAAAACAACACAAATTTATTATCTTACTGTGCTGCTGGATGGAAGGCCAATGCAGTACAAATTGGCTAAAGTCAAGCCGTTGGAAAAGCTGCATTCCTTCTGAAGGCTCCAAGAGACAACCTGCTTCTTTGCCCTTTCTAGTTCCTAGAGGCTATCTGCATACTTTGGGTCAAGGCCCTCTTCCTCCATCTTCAAGGCCAGGAATTGTGGGTCAAATCCTTTTTCATCATGTCACTCTGAAAGCCTCTTCTGCTTCCTTCTTCCACATTTAAGAACTCTTGTGATTACATTGGGTCCACCTAGCTAATCCAGGATCCTCTCTCATTCTTAAGGTCCTTGACTTAATCTGATCTGTTGAGATCCGTTTGTCATGAAAGGGGGTTCAAGGATTAGAATGCAGTCATTTTTAGGGCAAACATTATTTTGTCTGCTACAGAGCCCCAAACCTATGGGAGTTCTGCCGATGGTGCTATTGGCTTATTGGAACATAGTGGGTTTTTATTGAAAAGTTGAGGAGGGATGACAGCTATGTTTATCTCTCTTTCACCATTGTCTTAGAAGTCACTTCACCTTTCCTTGGACCTAGTCTGTTAAGAGATAGGGTAGTTCATTTACCTCCATGCCTTGATAGGTCTATTTAAAATATTTTGTGTTTAAAAAGTTTTCCATATTTTGCAAGGCTGGTGTCAAGCTGCCAGATGTGGGGACAATGAGCCAAATTGAAAGTTATCAGTCAAGCTCTTACTCCCTGAGACAGTGCGTGCAAGAGGCAGATGAAAATATAGGTTCCAGATCCTCAGTGTTTCGCTTTTCCCCATGGAATGGCACCAGGCTAGGATTGGATGACAAGCAGTGCAGATGAAGGAGTCGCCTCACTGCTGAGAAGCCATGAAGAAAAGGCTTTTGCCTTTTTCTGGACCCAGGGGGCCAGAAGAAGGGGTTGGGGGAAAAGGCAGGAGTGGAAAAATATTTTATTTTCAATTGTCAAATAATATTCATTAGATTTATGGGGTACAATGTGATGTTGCAAAACATGTATACATTATGGAATGTTCAAATCAGGTTAATTGATATATTCATATCTTGAATACTTATCTGTTTTTTTGATGGTGGTAACATTTTAAATCTGTTCCTTTAGCTGTTTTGAAATATACAATACATTATTATTAATAGTTACCATGCTGTACAGTAGAACACCAGAACTTATTCCTGCAGGCTAACTGAAACTTTGTACCCTTTGACCAACTTCTCTCCTTTCCCAGTCCACAAACCCCTCCTAAAGCCCCTCGTTACCACCATTCTACTCTACTTCCATGAGTTCAACATTTTTAGATTTCACATGGAAGTGAGATTATGCAGTGTTTGCCTCTGTGCCTGGCTTATCTGACTTAGCATCATGTACTCTAGGTTTATCCATGTTGTTGCAAACAACAGAATTTCCTGTTTTTAAGAGGCTGCATGGTATTCCACTGTGTTTAATACCAATTTTTACAAATCCATCTGTTGATACACACTTCAATTGTTTCCGTATCTTGGCTATTGTGAGTAATGCTATAATGAACAGGGAAGGGCAGATATCTCTTCTACATACTGATTTTAATTCCTTTGGATATATACTCAGTAGGGGAATTGCTGGATCCTATGTTAATTCTAACTTTTGTTTTTTTGGGAAACCTCTACACTATTTTCTGAAATGACTGTACTAATTGATAGTACCACCACCAGTGCATAAAGCTTCCCTTTTCTCCACAAGAAGCGACAGAATTTTGAGTCAGAGTGAAGAAAAGTCAAGGCCTTTGATAAAGAGGCCTTGGGAGAGGCTCCTGTGAAGTGCCTTGGAACTTCCAATATGGAAGTCTCTAAATGGATTTGGCTGAGCCTGAGTCCTTGACTGCAATTTCCTTCAGAGAACTGCAGTGCACTGACTATGTACTGGGTCTCGTTGGCAAGTACAGCTTTCCCCCATAAGGCCTGTCAGGCAGAGCCCTGTAATTGCCTGTGGTCAGGCCTGAAAGATCACACATAGGATTTTGGCTTGGGCCAGACTTGGTAGGTGGGATGCATTAAAAAACAAACAAACAAAAATATTAATTGACCACAGAGTAATTGCTATGACACTTTGCAGTTGTAAAATGGTACTTTCTTATGGAAAAAAGCATTACTCATTTGTGGGTATAAATGACACTTAGAATTGCAGGAAGTGATGTATAAGTAACCATGTTTGTCATAAAATGTTATATACTGACCTTTCCCCATGCAATTTGCATAGAATTGCTATAGAATCAGGCCTGGAATTAGAACTTGAATCCTAAAACCCAAGTCCAGGTTTTTGCTTGTGAATTTAGGCTGCTTTTTGGTAACTGAAGCAGGGATAATTCTTTTTTTTCCCCCTTAGTTTAATGTATGTGGTAGCAGAAAAAGCAAGGAATCTTTTGGTCTATACATGTAGCTGATTTTAGTAGGATGTATAGATTTTAGCCTAGAGAAAGATGGGGCTGAGGCTAGACAATCTTTTGTGATCATTTTCTTCATTCCCATTTGGCTGAAGCTGGAACATTTCTGGTGGCACATCTTCCATGACTTTGTCCTGCTGGGTTTTAAATAATTCACATGATTGCCCTCTTACTATTTTTCCTGGAATCTTATTCCACCATGTAATGAAGCTATTAAGGAGTTCTTGACATGATACTCTTATGTTCAATTCTGGAGAAATTTTCTTTTAGTCAGTTTAACCTCAATAAGGAGATCAATAAGTATAAAAATTAAAAAGCAAGAAAAGAAAGTAGTAGCGAAAAAGGACAGGGGTAAGGGAGTGGCATTTTGTTTGTTGGGTTGGTTTTGTTTTGGCTGGAGGGGAGGAAGGAATGTAGACGGGTAGTGCCAGGACACATTAAAGGAAAGGAAGAGTTGAGGAGAGAGAAATAAACATGTCTCTCCGAATGGATCTGAGGAGGCACTAGCAGCCAAGAATCAATAGCAAATTCCCTGTCTAATTTCTTCAGTCTCCGTGTGAAACAAACCTCAAGGTTCTGATTTTGGTAACTTCCGTGCATGTGGTCCAGTCTCAGGTTGTTAACTTCAAATTGATATTTAACCATTTAAAAATCCATTTGTACCTATGTTAATCTGCGTAACAAAAACTGGAACATTAGCACTGGAGAGTTTGGGGAATGGAGCGAGAAAGGTGGTTTTGAATGAGATTTATCTCTTCCAAATTTAAAATTGTAACATATCTGTTGCTTTTTTCACCTACAACCACTTCACTCCCTTCCCCTATCCCTGAAAACTCCCTCCTATTCTCAGTTTTGAAACTGTGAGTTCTCAAGGTACTAGATTTCTACAACTAATAGGAGGCTGGCAGGTAGCACTCAAGAAGGCTCTGTCATTTCCAGAGATTACAAAAAGCACCAGATTCTTTCCCACTGAACCCATTAGGGTAGTGGGAAGCAGAGTTTCCAGGTGGGTGCCACAAAGGGTAAGGCATCTGATGGCATTCTTGGGGTTTGCTTGTACAAAGATACTCAGGTGTGGGAGGGATGTTCAATGAAATATTTCTTTATATCACCCCAAACAGCAATGTTTTAAGAGGAATCAAGACGTGTTTCATCTTACATCCATTTGATGCCATAGTTTTGTTAATGGTGGAAGGTGTCCAGGTTCTTGGCATTTTGAACAAAGAATTGGACAAAATGCACAAACCAAGCAAGGAAGGAATGAAGGGATTTATTGAAAATGAAAGTACACTCCAGTGTGGGAGCAGGCCCAAGCATAGGAGCTCAAAAGCCCTGTTACGGAATTTTTGGGAGTTTACCCCCTAGAGGATTCCATCGGTTATTTGGTGTATGCCCTATGTAAATGGAGACGATGAAGTTACAAGGTCATTTACTTGGTCTACGCCCTATGGAGAGGATATTTCCTGTCACAGCTGAAGTGTGAATCGATTGGCCTTATGTTCCCTGCCTCCAGACCCTATTTTCCCGCCTTTTACTCTTTTGTTCACCCTCCCTCCATCTCCTAGCACAACTAATGTCGTTTTTGGAATAAAATTCGAAATCTTTAACAGCAGACTGTGACTGATCTGGCCCTTGCTTGTCTCTCCAGCCTCATCTCTGGCCATCTTCCCTGCATACTGTCCACACTGGCCATGAGCAATGTCCTAAAGAGTGGCACATGCCTCCACACCTAAGAGGCCTCCACATGCTGCAGTTTCCTTGTTTTTACTGTGCTATCCAATACCATCCTCTTTCTCCAATGAAACCTCACTTATTGTATTATTGCTTAATTATCACATCCTCAGAGAAAAGTTCTGACCACCCTTACTCCCATACTAGATCAGTTTTTCTGTCATAAGTTCTCATAAGATCCTATACGTTTCCCCCAAAGCAATTATAGTTAATCACACTATTGCATAACTAAACACGCAGATGTATCTTTTCCTGCTGGAAAGAAAACTTTATGAAGACAGAACCCTGTCTATTTCACTGTCTGGTACCACTGGTCCTTAGGGCCGTGCTGCTACAGAGTACATAATGAGCAGCTTTTTGTTGGATTAGTCACTGTATGTTACAACCACATCTGAGAATGAATGGAGAGCAACTGCCCAAATTCAAAGACCTTTGTGAGACCATTAAAAATAATTGAATTGAGAAAACAAAGCATTTTCTACATAGAAACATGTGTGCTGCCTTTTTAAGTCATCAAAGAAATATTCCAACTGTGTGCTAGTATATTGTTATAATTCCTGTTTATACAACAGAACACCCACACTCCAAACACATAGAATATCTCTACTTAATAGCTACATTTTCTGTTGTGGATGGTGGACAATTTCTCCTATGCTTCTGTATCTTTTCATATATGTGTCCATATGTGTTTGTGTTTGTGTATATTGTGTGTACGTTTTATTTCTAATTCAATCTGTAAACACTAAAAAGGATAAATTTACTTTTTTACAGCAGAAAGTGCACTGTTAAGTAAACTCTATTCAGTGGTGTGCTGGGGCTGGGTTATATTGTCTTGTGAGAGCTGATCGTATGCTCTGATCAACTTTGTCCATTCATGTCAAATATGTAATACGGAGTCAGAAATGGTGGGAGTATTTACATCATGAAAAGTGGCCAACACTAGAAATCAGGGCTATTTTTTTTGAGAGTCTGTTGCTAAGCATTTACCAGCAAAAAATGGTTATAATACTAGTTAAGGTTAACAATAATTGCCTATGTCTTGAGAAAATTAATAGTTTCTCAGAGTAGTCTACAGTTAATGGATTGGTGTGATATATCAATTAAGAGATCCAAATTCATGTAGATGTACAGACTGGATTAGATGAGTGAAGGGATTCCCTGTTAGAGATAGGCAAAATTTCTCCACATTCAGAAACTGAATTATTCAAAGATGTGAATACAGTGAACTGGTAAATTTAAAATCCAGCATTTACAGGTGTCAATTTTAAAAAGAGGCAATGCTAGTAATTTTAGGAGGAGAAATCTATTCCAGAGTTGTTGCTGGGATAAAAGGACATGGGTATTGTAAAAATATGAGGGAGTAAAAAATATTTGATGGGCTTTTTAATAGGAAGACTCAGGAACTTGAAAATTATGTAAGCAAAAGCATAAAAATTGCTTAAAATAGTTATTGTACTAAGTCTGCATTGGTGAAGAGCATTCCACACAAAGTGGTAGAGACAGTTGAAAACAATGAATCTATTTCAGAAATAGGGTTTTATAATCACAATTTTTAGAAAATGTATGAGTTGGAATTGAAAGTTTAGCCAAGCATGATACTGTAACAACCTAAATCGAACGGCTAAAGATCCAATAAAAGATGATCAGAGATGAGGTACAGAGCTCAGCCCAAATCTGTGGGATCTGGGGGAAATGATCCCAGTTTCCTGTGATGTCCTCAATCCTTGTAGATTTCCTTTCACCTAGACTCTGCTGTACTCACTGCCTGTTTTACCCAAAAGACAGTGAGATTTTGATGCTTCTGGTAGTCATTATCTTCAGAATGTAGCATCTTTAGCTATTCTCTTTGCTTTCTTTGTGCATAGCATAAAACATGGCTGAAAGTTATGTCAAGTGTGAAAACAGTCATTCTCTGCATCTAAGTCACATTTCATTATTCTCACCTCCAGTACTAATAATCTCCAGGCACATCCTACCAATGCCTCTTATATATTTTGGTCCTACTGCTGAACAGCTTTAAATTTTCAGGCCTGGCTAATTTATACAGACACCCTCTCATGCGATGTTAAAGCAACCACAGCATAGCTCTCCTGGGACTAACTAAAACAATGGGATTTTCTTTTCTTTTTTTTTTCTTTCTTTAAATCAAATAGTAGGTCTCAGCCATGCAGGTGGTCCAGCTTTGTTCACTGCTGTGTGTTTTAACTAAGCTTGTTTTTGAGTCATACTGTAGGTTCCCTGCTGAGTGTTCCTGGGTCCTAAGGTTCTTGCGGGTTCTGAGAGGGCCTCTGTCTTCTCTTATTGGACTCTGTGGTGGATCCTTCAAAGATTATTGATTTTTAAGGTATTTGGTTTTTATAGACTGATTTAGTTCACACTAATTTCTGAAATCCACCCAAAGTTATTTGTGTTTCTGTCTTCTGCTTGTGAAACCTTAGTTTTAATATATAAGCACATAATCTGAAGCTAAGAATAAGTGAAAGAAAAAGACCCTTTTTCATTTCATTATTGTTATTATATTTTTGTTATTGTGGTTTTAGCTAAAAAATTAGCAGAGAGCTAACCAGAGAAACTTGTGACTTTGTTTTTAGACATTAGGTTGGATGGCAAAGTGAAATGTGGTCTAGAATAGAGTCTAATCCTGTGTTGCTACCACCTAGCTGAATGACTTTAGCAAGCTACTTCATCGTTTCAGGTGTCTCTTTCTTCATCTGTAAAATAAATAACTCTAAAGCTCCTTTTTCTCTAATATTCTATGAAGACATAGCACATAAGTCAGAATACCTTAGAGAGTCTGGAGAGGGAGACACCTGCTGTAGTCCAGTGAATACTCATATAAGGCTGAAGGAAAGATCAATACATATTAAACTGTCAAAACGTAATGCCTTTATTTTCTCCTAAAAAGGTGTATCATCCATACTGTATCCATATATAATGTTACTGCAACAAGGCAAGATAACAGAAAATAGCAGGGGAGATAAAAACAAATCTTACTATTTGTCAGACACTGTGCTGAATGCTTTGCACATATCATCTTCTTATAATGCAATAGCTTCATGGGGCAGGCATTATTATCACCACCTTACACATGAGCCTTAAAGAGGTTAAGTAATTTGCTTAATGTCATGTCACTAGTAAATTATGTATATTGTATTCCAATCCAACTCACTCTGATGTAAATAACACTGCCACCCCAAGAGGGAAAGAGACTGGTACCATCCCATATCTTTTGTTAAGTGGCTGGATCTAACACCTGGATAAGTTGATTCTGGATAACTCTATAGTCCAACTCTACAGATTCTGGAGAACTCTATAGTCCATCTCAGTATAGACTGCAGGAGATTTTGTTCTGGGATGTGTGAAGGAACCTGGAACTCACATGTATCTTTCAGTAGGGTAGCTCTCTGACTAAATAAGAAAAATAAATCTTGCTTATATCAGACTGTTGCTATCTGTCCTTTGGGGGAGACAGCATCTCTGCCATGTTCATCAGCAATGTCTCCAAGGCCATGATCCTTCAACTCATCATCCAGTTTTCTGAGGAAGTGGAGAGTGAGTGAAGTTGATTGATTGAATGGTCCTGTGCCTAGAAAACAACAAAGTGATTTTAACCCAGAGCCATGTACTACATTCAGCTCATTGCTAACTGCAAAGACATTCATCTATAAAGTAAACTCACTGGGCTGTTTATTCCTTTTTATTGTTTATAAAAAAATATTTATTTTTATTTATTTATTTATTTATTGTTTTTTTGTGTGTGTATGTGTGTGTGCATTAAAATGACAATAAACTGGAATTAATGTGCTTACTCTGAACCTAAAAAGAAGATACTTGGTGGATACTGAGGTAATCTTTATGCTTTACCAGGAGGGTATACACGCTTTGAGTTGTCTGTGAAACACTGGAGTATGTTAAGTTATCCATCTATTTTTGGAGTGGTATTCAATGACTAGGCAACCCTTGCTAATGTGATGAAGGCACAGATTCTCCATGTCAGCCAAATCACTCAAGGGAACGTCCTCTAGAACTTCTAAGCTAAAAGTGACCTGAGGAACACTCTAGTCTAGTTTTACACTGGCCAGGGATGAGATGTTGTGCCCATTGAGAATCTAATACAGGACTTTGACCCTCAGTAACAGATATCCCTCTGTATTCATTGGTAATTAGTTTTAAGTTGTAGGAAAACCTCTTGAGCTAGTTTAAGATTAAAATTAAAATATACTTAAAGGTTAAGAGAAGGTCACAATGAGGCAGAAGACAGGTTCTGAGTCTCAGGAAGGAATGGAAGCAGAAAAGGGAAAGGTATTAGGCATGTAGGGAGCTCCTTGGGCCTCTCACATTTCTGCTTTATATGATCATTTTTGTCATTCTCTGGAGACTAGCTTTTCCCCTACACTCACACTTAATTACATGGTAGAAAGGGCTGTTCTTTGTGTAGAACAAGAGTAGTTGTTCTATATCAATGAAAGTTTTTCGATTGGCCCAACTTGTATTGGATGTTATGGTAGACTAAATTGTTGGTTCTAATTTGTCACTTCCTTGTAGAAGAACAATAACATTCACACTGTTGTTATGCCTTTGTGTTGGGTGGATACTATCCTTTGGGCATTGGCATGTGATTTGCTTTACTTTGGCTAATGGACTTTAAATGGATATGGCAGAAGCAAAAGTTTTAACTGTGCTCAGACGGTTATCCTTTTATGCTCCAGTGATCTGTCATTAGAAGAATGTACTCTACATTGCCACTGTTCCTTCAGCTTGGACCTCAGAGTAAATGTACATGAAGTAGACATAAACCAAATCTGCAACCTGGAACTAAGCCAGTTTACATAACCCAGACTAAAGTCCTTTTGCAGACCCATAAAATATGAATAAGTACTTGTTGTTGTAATCTTTTGACACTTTGGCATGATGTAATATGTAATGTTATTGTGCAATAGTTGACTGATAAAGAAATTGGTACTGAAAGTAAAGTGTTAACGTAACAGATGTCTCAAATCTTGTCTTTAGGACTGTTAGTAATCGGTGAGAAAACACTGATTTGAAGCTAGGAAAGTGGAAATCCATTTTATGTGGTGGCAAAATATTTGGTAAATCTCTCTCTTACCTGTGGTAAATTGGAAGACAGAAAATATTCTTAATAAAGTTGAACATTCTGCCAGGTGGTTTAGAAGCTTAATATTGAAAATATTAGTTGATGGCTACTAGGTGAATTTGATAAGTTACATTAAGAAAAAAACTGAAATCAGGAAAACAATTTGCAAATATAATTGATAAGGAATATATACAGTCCATATATTCTAAGATTTACAAAGTTAAAAAATAAATCTCTTTATCATTTCAAATATCTGGACATTAAAATGCAAAGTTTTAGGATGAATTCCAAATTGTGGACATTATCTTTAAGACATAGCTTAAGGGCAAAAGAAAGTCAATGACGTGGTTGTCATACTGTTTGTTAAGAACCTCTGGAATGGGTGTTGAGTTTTATCGCAGGCCTTTTCTGCATTTTTTGAGATAATCATGTGGTTTTTGTCATTGGTTCTGTTTATATGATGGATTACGTTTATTGATTTGTGTATGTTGAACCAGCCTTGCATCCCAGGGATGAAGCAGACTTGATGGTTGGGGTTAATCTTTTTTGATGTGCTGCTGGATTCGGTTTGCCAGTATTTTATTGAGGATTTTCACGTCGATGTTCATCAGGGATATTGGCCTGAAATTTTCTTTTTTTGTTGTGTTTCTGCCAGGTTTTGGTATCAGGGTGATGCTGACCTGATAAGATGAGTTAGGGAGGAGTCCCTCCTTTTCTATTGTTTGGAATAGTTTCAGAAGGAATGGTACCAGCTCCTTTCTGTATCTCTGGTAGAATTTGACTGTGAATCTGCCTGGTTCTGGGCTTTTTTTGGTTTGTAGGCTATTAATCACTGCCTCAATTTTAGAACTTGTTATTGGTGTACTCAGGGATTCGATTTCTTCCTGGTTTAATCTTGGGAGAGTTTATGTGTCCAGGAATTTATCCTTTTCTTCTAGATTTTCTAGTTTATTTGCACGGAGGTGTTTACAGTATTCTCTGATGGTAGTTTGTATTTCTGCGGGATCAGTGGTGATATCCCCTTTATCATTTTTTATTGTGTCTATTTGATTCTCCTCTCTTAAACTAGGTATTGATGGAATGTATCTCAAAATAATAAGAGCTATTTATGAAAAACCCATAGCCAATGTCATACTGAATGGGCAAAAGCTGGAAGCATTCCCTTTGGAAATCAGCACAAGACAAAAATGCCCTTTCTCACCACTCCTATTCAACATAGTATTGGAAGTTCTGGCCAGGGCAATCAGGCAAGAGAAAGAAATACAGGGTATTCAAATAGGAAGAGAGGAAGTCATATTGTCTCTGTTTCCTGATGACTGGATTGTATATTTAGAAAACCCCATTGTTCCAGCCCAAAATCTCTTTAAGCTGATAACTAACTTCAGCAAAGTCTCCAGATACAAAATCAATGTGCAAAAATCACAAGCATTCCTATACACCAATAATAAACAGAGAGTCAAATCATGAGTGAACTCCCATTCACAATTGCTACAAAGAGAATAAAATACTCAGGAATACAACTTACAAGGGATGTGAATGAAGGACCTCTTCAAGGAGAACTACAAACCACTGCTCAAGGAAATAAGAGAGGACACAAACAAATGGAAAAACATTCCATGTTCATGGATAGGAAGAATCAATATCGTGACAATGGTCATACTGCCCAAAGCAATTTATAGATTCAATGCTATCCCCATAAATCTACCACTGACTTTCTTCACAGAATTAGAAAACACTACTTTAAATTTCATATGGAACCAAAAAAGAGCCTGTATAGCCAAGACAATCCTAAGCAATAAGAACAAAGCTGGAGGCATCGTACTACCTGACTTCAAACTATACTACAAGGCTACAGTAAACAAAACAGCATGGTACTGGTATCAAAACAGATATATAGACCAATGGAACAGAACAGAGGCCTCAGAAATAATGCCACACATCTACAACCATCTGATCTTTGACAAACCTGATAAAAACAAGCAATGGGGAAAGGATTCCCTATTTAATAAATGGCATTGGGAAAATTGACTAGCCATGTGCAGAAAACTGAAACAGGATCCCTTCCTTACACCTTATACAAAAATTAATTCAAGACAGATCAAAGACTTAAATGTAAGACCTAAAACCATAAAAACTCTAGAACAAAATGTAGGCAATACCGTTCAGGACATAGGCAAGGGAAAAGCCTTCATGTCTAAAACACCAAAAGCAGTGACAACAAAAGCCAAAATTGACAAATGGGATCTAACGAAACTAAAGAGCTTCCACACAGCAAAAGAAACTATCATCAGATTGAACAGGCAGGCAAAGAATGGGAGAAAATTTTTGCCATCTATCCATCTGACAAAAGGCTAATATCCAGAATCTACAAAGAACTCAAATTTACAAGAAAAAAACAAACAACCCCATCAAAAAGTGAGTGAAGGATATGAACAGACACTTCTCAAAAGAAGACATTTATGCAGCCAACAAACATGAAAGAAAGCTCATCATCACTGGTCATTAGAGAAATGCAAATCAAAACCACAATGAGATACCATCTCACTCCAGTTAGAATGGCAATCACTAAAAAGTCAGAAAACAACAGATGCTGGAAAGGATGTGGAGAAATAGGAAGACTTCTACACTGTTGGTGGGAGTGTAAATTAGTTCAACCATTGTGGAAGACAGTGTGGTGGTTCCTCAAGGATCTAGAACCAGAAATACCATTTGACCCAGCAATCCCATTACTGGGTATATACCCAGAGGATTATAAATCATTCTACTATAAAGACACATGCACACATGTTTATTGCAGTGCTATTCACAATAGCAAAACTTGGAACCAACCCAAATGCCAATCAATGATAGACTGGATAAAGAAAATCTGGCACATATGCACCATGGAATACTATGCAGCCATAAAAAAGGATGAGTTCATGTCCTTTGCAGGGACATGGATGAAGCTGGAAACCATCATTCTCAGCAAAGTAACAAAGTAACATAGGAACAGAAAACAAAATAGACTGCATGTTCTCACTCATAAGTGGGAGTTGAACGATGAGAACACATGGACACAGGGAGGAGAACATCACACACCCGGGCCTGTAGCGGGGTCGGGGGATAGGGGATGGACAGCATTAGGAGAAATACCTAAATGTAGATGACAGGTTTGTGGTGCAGCAAACCACCATGGCATGTGTATCCCTATGTAACAAACCTGCACGTTCTGCACATGTATCCCCAAACATAAAGTGTGAGGATGGATAGATAGATAGATAAAAAGAACCTCTGGAAGGATTAAGAAGATACAATGGTAAACTTTTGGCTGAAGAAAAAACATTCAGAAGTGTAAAAGGCATGACAACATAGAAACCTGATAAACCCAATGTTTTCTTAATTGCAGATTGAAAACTTTTCTATACAGAGAGAAAATGGGAATCTCAAAATTACAAATGGCAAAAGGACTTCAAGTGATGTATAAAGGTTCTTTATTTACCAGCTTTCTCCAGCCTTGCTTCCATCAAGTTTGACCTGTGTTTCTCTGACCCAGAAAACCTGAAAACACAGTTGGATTTCTTGTCCTAGGCCACCTCGTCAAAATCTACACCTTGCTTGATGTGTCTTTCTCTTAGGCCTGAATAGATGGTAATACAGTGAGACAAAGAACAGCTGAGATGAGTCACCGACAAGCTTTCAAAAAGGAGATGGCTGTCAGACAGAGGAGACAGAATGCCTCAGCATTTTATTGTGTTCATGAAAACTGTCAGAACACCTAGAAAGACATTTAAATAATAATGAGTTCTGGTCAACCAAATGAAAAACAAAAGAAATGTGAGTATCTTTCTTTTCCTTTCTCTTTAATCATTAAATGTGAAACACATAGAAACATATAGCATTATTGAGAAGGGTCTCATCAAAGTTTTATTTTTCCAAGTCAATTCCACACTTGATAAAGACATGCTTGGGCACCAGAACAAGCTGGATATAGAGAATAGGCAACAGAATGCTCATGTCTTCATGCCAAGGCTCCACTGGCTTGTAACTCAGACAAAAGTCAGATGCCAAGGGGCTTCTGCTGGCTCTATCTATAGATACTCAGTAGATGCCAATGCTTAGATCTTAGTGTAGGTATACATATTCCTTTTATCTCCAAGAGAAAAGAATAGGGATTCATTAAGCTAATCAGAATGAAAATGGTTAGCCACATATAGCATGCTAGACTTGGAGTCAAAAGACCTGTGCTCTGGGACAAATATAATCTAGCCTATGTAACACACACATACTCTTAAATTTTACTTTTTTTCTCCATTGGTAAAATGGGGAATAATAAGAGGTAAAACAAAATGCTTCTGTATTAATCTAACACAGAAAAAATTTCTCATCTTTTATTGCTTCATTTCCTCCATGATTCTCTCATACTTATTCTGGTTTTACAGTGTAAGATGCAGCTTATGCTTGGCCCATGTCTGTTGATGTTGACATTCTAGATGCATAAAAAGCACTTCCTCTGGTTCTCCTGTGCTAGATTAGTGAGCAAAGCAGCCTGTGCTGAAGTCCTCATGGGAGAGGTAAAGATAGACTGAGGGGATAGGCATCATTCTATAGTGTATGTTTTCCAGAAAAACAATCTAAAACCCACCTATTAGAAATTATGTTCTCCTAAAAGATATTTTTGTTCAATCTTCCACCAGGGACAAGACTAGAATATTCTAGCATGCCTCTTCATTTCTTCTTTTTCTATTCATCTTCTACTGTCTGTCAGCCACACATTTTCTTCCTTGACCTAATAAAACAGCCCAGTGACTATGTTTGTTAACTTGAGTTTGCACTTGGAGCCTTTCCTTCTAGCCAAGAAACATTCCTCTAAGAAATTTTTTAGTGAATAACATTTTCTCCATTCCATTCCATTCCATTCCATTCCATTCCATTCCATTCCATTCCATTCCATTCCATTCCCCATCCCAGAACTTCTGTTTAAAGGATGCAGGACTGAAGACCTTGCTAAACACACATCAAAACAAAGCCCCTGTTTTCTTATTTTAAAAAAGACTTACTTTTTAATCCAATTGTCATTAGTACTTTTGGATTATTTTTCTTAAAATTGTTCACAAAATTTTGTTAGTTTAGGCCCCACAAAACCTAAATTCAACTGGGCCTTCCTCCTATATATAATCTCTTCTAGAATGACTGACGAGAAGTCTGGAAATGCATCCATGAGGATGTCCACTTGGTTTTCGCTCAATATTTCCATGCTGCCCAAACTTTGCTCAAGGCAAGAGGGGCACTATAACAGAAAACGGAAACTAGATGACTGTTGTCAATGTCCCAGAGTCTTACAGGTTCAATTGTGGCATTGCCTGTCAAATATGAGAGATGGTTAGAGGCACAAAAGATGGGTAGGATTTTGTAAAAAGTTTTGTTTTTAATTTTTGTGGTACATAGTAGGTGTGTATATTTATGAGGTACACAAGATGTTTTGATACAGGCATGCAATACATAGTAATCACATGGAAAATGAGGTATCCATCCCCTCAAGTATTTATCCTTTGTGTTATAAACAATCCAATTATACTCTTAGTTATGTAGACATGTACAATTAAATTATTATTGCCTGTAGTCACCCTGTTATGCTATCAAATACTATGTTGTGTTATCAAATACTACTCATTGTTTGTAACTATTTTTTTTGTACCCATTAACCATCCCCACCTCCCCTCAGCCCCTTACCACCCTTCCAGTCTCTAAAAACTATCCCGCTACCATCTCCATAAGATCAGTTATTTTCATTTTTATGTTCCACAAACAAGTAAGAACACGTGATGTATATCTTTCTGTGCCTGGCTCATTTCACTTAGCATAACGACTTCTGCTTCCATCCATATGGTTGTAAATGACAGGATCTTATTCTTTTAAATGGTTGAAAAATACTTCATTGTGTATATGTACCGCATTTTCTTTATCCATTTGTCTGTTGATGGACATTTAGGTTGCTTTCAAGTCTTGGCTACTGTGAATAGTGCTGCAACAGACATATGGGAGAGCAGATATCTCTTTGTTATAATGATTTCCTTTGTTTTGGGTATATACCCAGGAGTGGGATTGCTGGATCATATCTATTTTTAGTTTTCTGAGGCATCTCCAAAGTGTTCTTCATAGTGGTTGTACTAATTTACTTTCCCACCAACAGTGTATAAGAGTTCCCTTTTTGCCACATACTTACTAGCATTTGTTATTCCTTTTCTTTTGGATATAAACCATTTTAACTGAGGTGAGATGACATCTCACTGTAGCATTGATTTGTATTTCTCTGATGATCAACGATGTTGAGCATCTTTTCAGATGCCTGTTGATCATTTGTATGTCTTCTTCTGAGAAATGTCTATTCAAATCTTTTGGCCATTTTAAAATAAGACTGTTAGATTTTTTTCCTATAGAGTTGTTTGATCTGCTTATATATTCTAGTTATTAATCCCTAGTAAGATGGATAGTTTGCAAATATTTTCTCCCACTCTGTGGGTTGTCTCTTCACTCTTTTGATTGTTTTCTCACTGTGCAGAAGCTTTTTAACTTGATGTGATCCCATTTGTCCATTCTTGGTTTGGTTGCCTGTGCTTGTGGGGTTTAATTTAAGAAACTTTTGCCCAGACCAGTGTCCAGGAGAGATTCTCCAATGTTTTCTTGCATCAGTTTCATAGTTTGAGGTCTTACGTTTAAGCCTTTATTGCATTTGTATTTGATGTCTGTGTATGGCAAGTGATAAGGGTCTGGTTTCATTCTTCTGCATACGGATATCCAGTTTTCCCAGCACCATTTTTTGAAGAGACTGTCTTTTTACCCAGTGTATGTTTTTGGTAACTTTGTCTAAAATGAGTTCACTGTAGGTGTGTGATGTTGTTTCTGGGTTCTCTATTCTATTCCATCAGTTGATATGTCTGTTTTTATGCCAGTACCATGTTGTTTTGGTTATGATAGCTCTGTAGTATAATTTGAAGTCAGGTAATATGATTCCTTGAGTTTTGTTCTTTTTTGCTTAGGATAGCTTTGCCTATTTTGGGTCTTTTGTGGTTTCAAAAATTTTAGGATTTTTTTTCTATTGCTGTGAAGAGTGTCATTGGTATTTTGATGGAGATTGCATTGAATCTGCACATTGCTTTGCACACCATGGACATTTTAACAATATTTATTATTCCAATTCATGAACATAGAACCTCTTTCCATTTTTTTGGTGTCTTCTTCAATTTCTTTCATTAGTGCTTTATAGTTTTCATTATAGCTAATATTTCACTTATTTGGTTAGGTTTATTCATAGGTATTTAATTTTATTTGTGACTATTGTAAATGAAATTATTTTTGCTTTCCTTTTCAGATGGTTCACTATTTATTAACCTACAAAATGCTACTAATTTTTATATGTTGATTTTGTATGTTGCAACTTTACTGAATTTGTTTATCAGCTTGAATACATTTTTTGGACAGGCTTTATGTTTTTTTAAAAAAAATATAAGCTCATATCGTCTGCAAACAAGGCTAATTTGACTTCTTCCTTTCCAATTAAGATTTCATTTATTTATTTCTCTTGTCTGATTGTTGTAGGTAGAACCTCCAGAATGTGGTGAATAATCAAGGTAAAATTGGGCATCCTTATCATGTTCCAGATCTTAGGGGAAAGGCTTTCAGTTTTTCCCAATTAAGTATGATACTAGCTGTGAGTTTATTATATACGGTTTTTATTATGTTGAGATATGTTCCTTCTATCCCCAGTTTTTTGAGGGTTTTCATCATGAAGAAATGTTGAATTTTTATCAAATGCTTTTTCAGCATCAGTTGAAAAAATAATATAGTTTTTATCCTTCATTCTGTTGATGCAATGTATCACATTGATTGATTTGTGTATGTTGAACCATCTTGGCCTTCTTCATTTTTTGGAAATACTTTGAGTAGGATTGGTATTAATTCTTCTTTAAATGTTTCATAGAATTCAGCAGTGAAGACATTGAGTTCTGGTCTTTTTATTATGGCTTTGATCTCATTACTTGTTATTGGTCTATTCAAGTTTTAGATTTCTTCCTAGTTCAATCTTTATCAGTTGTATGTGTCTCAGAATTTGTCCATTTCTTCTAGATTTTCCAACTTATTGGCATATTGTTGCTTATAGTAGCCATTAATGATACTTTGCATTTCTGCAGTATTGGTTGTAACGTCTCCCTTCCTGTCTCTGATTTTATTTATTTGCATCTGCTCTCTTTTTTTTTTAGTCTGGCAAAAGGTTTGTCAATTTTGCTTAACTTTTCAAAAACCAACTTTTTGTTTTATTGATCTTTTGTATTTTCTTCATTTTAATTTTATTTATTCTGCTCTGATCTTTTTCTTTTACCAACTTTAGGTTCAGTTTGCTCTAGCTTTTTCAGTTCTTTAAGATGCATCCTTAGGTTTTTTATTTGAAGTTTTTCTTCTTTATTTGATGTAGGCACTTATAGGTATACATTTTCCTCTTAGTACTGGTTTTGCTGTATCCCTAAATTTTGGTATGTTGTATTTCCATTATCATTTTTTCCAAGAAATTTTCCAATTTCCTTTTTAATTTCTTCATTGACCCACTGGTTATTCAGGATCATGTTAATTTCCATGTAATAGTACAGTTTCTAAAACTCCTTTCATGAATAATTTCTAGTTTTAGTCCATTGTGGTCAGAAAAGATGCTTAAAATTATTTTAGTTATTTTGAATGTTTTAAGACTTGTTTTGTGACCTAACATATTGTCTATTTTTGAGAATGATCCATGTGTTGAGGAAAAGAATGTGTATTCTGCAGCTGTTGGATACAATGTTCTGTAAATATCTATTATGTCCATTTGTTCTGTTGCTGCTTTTAGGATCCTTTCTTTATCCTTGCACTTTGGGATTTTGATTAAATGCCTTAAAGGAATCTTTGGGTTAAATCTGTCTGGTGTTCTAGAATCTTCCTGTAGTTGAATATTGATGTATTTCTCTAGATTTGGGAAATTCTCTGTTATTATCTTTTAAAATAAACTTTCTACCCTATCTCTCTCTCTCTCTTTTTTTTGATGGATTCTCACTCTGTTGCCCAGAATTGAGTGCAGTGGCGCGATCTCAGCTCACTGCAACTTCCGTCTCCTGGGTTCAAGCAATTATCCTGTCTCAGCCTCCTGAGTAGCTGGGATTACAGGAGTGTACCACCATGCTCAGCTAATTTTTGTATTTTTAGTACAGATGGGGTTTCACCATGCTGGCCAGGCTGGTCTCAAACTCCTGACCTCAGGTGATCCGCCAGCCTCGGCCTCCCAGAGTGCTGGAATTACAGGGGTGAGCCACCTATCTCTTTTTTTTACCTCTTCTTTTAGGCCAATAACTCTTTGGTTTCTCCCTTTGAGGCTATATTCTAGATCTTATAGACATGCTTCATTGCTTCATTTTTTAAAATTCTTATTCTTTTGTCTTCTCTGGCCATGTATTTTCAAATAGCCTGTCTTCAAGTTCACCAATTCTTTCTTCTGCTTGATCAATTCTGCTATTAAGACTCTAATGCATTCTTCATTGTGTCAATTGCAATTTTACCTCCAGAATTTCTGCTTGATTCTTTTCAATTATTTTAATCTCTTTGTTAAATTTATCTGATAGAATTCTGAATTCCTTCTCTGTGTTATCTTGAATTTCTTTGAGTTTCATATTTTGAATTCTCTGCATTAAAGTTCACATATCTCTATTTCTCCTGGATTGACCCCAGTGCTTTATTTAGTTCACTTGGTGAGGTCATGTTTTCTGGGATGGTATGGATACTTTTAGGTGTTTATTTGTGTCTGGGCATTGAAGAGTTAGGTATTTATTGTAGTCTTTGTAGTTTGGGTTTGTTTGTACTTGTCCCTGGGGAGGCTTTCCAGATATCAGAAGAACTTCACTGTTGTTATCTGAGGAGTATCTGCTTTAGGTGGCACCTCAAACCCAGAAATTTTATGGTTCTTGCAGACTCATGGAGGTACCGCCTTGATGATCTTTGAAGAGATCCATAAAACTTGTCTGGATTATGAGGCAGAGTCTCTTGTTCCCTACTGTTATTTTCTTCCAAACAAACAGAGCTTCTCTCTATTCTGAGCCACCTGGATCTGCAGATAGCGTGACACAAGCACCCCTGTGACCACTACCACTACGTCTGTGCTTGGTCAGACCTCAAGCCAACTCAGCACTGGGTGTCACCCAAGGCTTGCTGTAACCACTCCCTGGTTGGTTTAAGGTGTAGGGGCTCTACGATGAGCCAGTGGCAATGTCAGCCAGGCCTGTGTCCTTCTCTTCAGGAGGGTGGGTTCCCTTAGGCCCTGGATGGGTCTGGAGGTGCTGTTCAGGAGCCAGGCACTAAAGTAAAATACCTTAGAAGTCTATCTGTTGTTCTATTGTACTGCAGCTTGGCTGGCAGTCAGAACACAAGACACAGTCCTTCCCAATTTTCCCTCCCCTTTCCGAAGGCAGAGGTGCACCCATGTACACCACCACCACAGGCCCATGTGGAGTATTGCCAGACTACTGTTGATGTTTTCTTAAGGCCCAAGAGCACTTTCCTCACCTTGTGGGGAATGCTGCCTGGCCTGGGACTCACCTTTCAGGGCAGTGGTCTCCCCTCTAGCCCAGAGCAGGTCTAAAAATGCCATTTAAGAGCCAAGTCCTGGAATCAGGGACCCCAAGAGTCTGCTTTGTGCCCTACCCACTGTGGCCGAGCTGGTACCTAAGGTGGAAGATAGGGTCCCCTTTACTTTTCCCTTCACTTTTCTCAAGCAGAGGAAGTAGTAGCTGGAAATGTGCTGAGTCTCTCACTTAAAGTCAGCAAGTCACACAATCTCACCCAAGGCCCACTGTGTACTACCTGTGTATTGCTAATGGTTACTCAGGGCCCAAAGATTCTTCAGTTAGCAGATGATGGATCCTGCCAGAACTGGGTCCTTCCCTTCAATGAAGTGGTTTCCCTTCTGGACAAGGGTGTATCTGGAAATGTTGTACTGGAGGTAGGGCCTCATGACTCTGACTGGTGCCCTATCCTGTTGTGGCTGAACTGGTATTTAGGATGCAAGACAAAGTCCTTCCCACTTTTCCCTCTCCACCTCAAGCAGAAGGAAGGGGTCTCTTTTGGAGCCACAAACTGTGCAGCCTAGGGTTAGGGCAGGGGTAATGCCAACATTCCCTTGGCCACCCTGGCAGTTGTCTCAGTAGGTCACATGCATCTCTCCCTGTCCACTGGCTCTGGACCAGTGCAGCACTAGGAGTCATCTAGGAGTTGTAGTCTTTGTGTCCTAGACTGCCATTCAAGTTATTTGGGGTCCCACAGTACTTTAGCCTGCAGTTCCAAGGCTTGCAGGAACTCAAGTTCTGATCACTGGGATCAACAATTAACCTCTGGCTAGGGCTGGCTTAAATGCTTTCTCCGTGGGTGGACATCAGCTGACTTCGGTCCAGTTTTGCTTTCTGCTATAACAGGGCAGTGGTGAGTTCAATGTCTCACAATTTCTGTGCTCTCCTGCTTCCCAAAGCGTAGAATCACTCTCTGAACCAAGTTGTTGCTGCTGGAGGATGGGAGAGGAGTGTTGCTGGCGATTCAAGATTGTTTTTCCTACCTCTTTAGTGCCCCTTTCAGCTATTTGAAATTAAAAAGAGGTACTGTGGGTTCTTACCTGATTATTGGTTCTTATGAAGGTGTGTAGATAGTTGTTAAATTAGTGTTTCTGTAGGTGGGGGTGGTACAATAGATGGAGCCTTGTATTCCACCATCTTGCTCCACCCCAAGTCCAAAATTCTTTGGAAAGGACATTATTTTGGCACTAGTAGGAAGTAAAATAGGGCCATTAGACCTTAAACATGTGTTTGGAGTTAATAAAATTACTTTATGGGGAAATCCTAAAATCCATAGAAAAGAAAACTAGTAATTCACTATGTAGGGTCACTGGAGAATTTTAAAATGGGCAGTGGGGCAGCACATACTATTTTAAATTGCTAACCTTGTCTGTTTTAGAAGTTGTCACAAAGTAAAATAGAAGATTTTTTTTTTTTTTTTTGGATTTCAAAGAAAAATGCATTTCAAAGGAAACAGCAAATAGAGTGTTTAAAATCACCGGGTATACTCCAAGAGAGAAATCTGAAAGCAAAACTATCAATTTTAAGTGAAGGGATGAAGCAAGGAAGTAAAGGCTTTCTGATGCTCTATGAGATGTGATTATTAATGATAGTAGAATCTTTTCAAAATGCCCCAGTAGGTCATGTATTGTGCTGTTTTACAATATAAATTCAAAACAAACACCTGTTGCTTCTTGGACCTCACTGCCTATTGCCTAACCAATACCACATTTTTTTTCCTCTTACTAACCATCGGGCTGAAGTCCCATTTCTGAAAAATAAATAAAGCTACTGCAAAATAGCAGGAAAAGGAACAGTCTTCACCCCAACCTCTCTCACTATAAGCACTTCGTATTCCTGTGTGTTTGTAAGGTTTTTCTTAATGTTTCAGTGGGTTTTCATTGCTTTTTTTTTGCTACTTTCCCATAAGGTTGCCAGGTACATTTAAGGAAGAAATAAGAGTTCTATTTCTAACATGGTCTTTAAAAATGAAATTCAGAGAAATAAATATTTAGGATCATTTCTGAATTGTTGTGTTGTATATTTATTGTATCTCCATAATGTTAAAAATTTTCAGTTATTTTGCTGTTGTCTTACCAACATGATGATTATTTGAACAAAAAATATATTTTTAGGCACTTTGAAGGATGCAGAGTTGATTAGGATGTAGTCAATGCTTTCACAGAAGTTTTAGGTGAAGAAAAATAACACAAAAGAAAAATATTTATAACGTATGTCAAGTTATTTACTTTATCTGAAGTTGCTTAAAATGACCAAATTCGAGCGTACAAGTCTGTCTGCCCAATAACAGCAAATATAGCATTTGCACCTTTATAGTCTCTTACATCAAGAACAGTACTTGGCATAGAGTAGATGTCTAGTTATGTCTATAATCTTTAGAATTATCAGAGAGACAGTTCTACAGCCATACAGAATGTAATTGGGCAGCTAAAAATGCATTAGACACTTTACTATCAGGGTGATGCTGGCTGCACAAAATGAGTTTGGAAGTATTTTCTGTAATTCTATTATTTGGAAGAGTTAACAAGGATTGGTACTAATTCTTCTCTGAATGTTTGGAAGAATTCAGCTGTGTAGCCATCTGGTCCTTGGGTTTTGTTTCTTAGGAGGTTTTTTTTTTTATTACTACTGCAATTTTTCATTTGCTATTGGTCTGTTTCTAGTTTTTTTTTTTCATGATTCAGTCTTGGATGGTGTATGTTTCTAGGAATTCATCTATTTCCTCTAGGCTTTCCAATTTATTGGCATTATAATTGTTCATAATAGTTCCTTATGATCCTTTTACTTATGATCCTATTTATTCTGTTATGTCGCTTCTTTCATTTCTGGTGTTATTTATTTCTTTTCTTTTTTCTTCTTAGTTAGTCTAGCTGAGAAGTTTCCCATTTTGTTTATTTTTTCAAATAACCAATTATAGTTTGATTGATTTTTTTCTATAGTTTAAAAATTCTCAATTTATCTCTGCTCTGATATTTATTATCTTCTTCCTTCTGCTAACTTTTGGTTTAGTTTCTTCTTTTTTTATTCCTTTGAGGTATAAAGGTAGGTTGTTTATATAAGCTCATTCTTTTTTTGTTTGTTTTGTTTTGTTTTTTCCTTTTATAGAGACAGATCTTGCTCTGTCACTCAGGCTGGAGTGCATGAGCATGATTATAGCTCACTGCAGCGTTGATCTCCTGGGCTCAAGCAATCCTCCTACCTTAGCCCCATGAATAGCTGAGACTGCAGGCACACATAACCACTCTTGGCTAACTTTTTAATTTTTGATAGAGACAAGGTCTCACTGTGTTGCACAGGCTAGTCTCAAACTTCTGGCTTTAAGCGATCCTCTTGCCTCTGCTTCCTACAGTGCTGGAATTACGGTCTTTCTCTCTCTCTTTTTTAATGTAACTGTTTATTGTTATAAACATCCATTTTATTATTGCTTTTGTTGCATCCCATGAGTTTTTTCTAGACGGTGTCTTAATTTTTGTCTCTAGATATTTTTAAAATTCTCTTTTGATTTCCTCTTTGACCCAGTGGCTGTTCAAGAGTGTGTTATTTAGTTTTTACATGTTGATTAATTTTCCCATGTTCTTGCTGTTATTGATTTCTACTTTTATTCAATTGATTAAAGACATAAATATAAGACCCAAAACTGTAAAACTATTAAAAGAAAACAAAAGGGAAATTGTCCTTGATATTGGCCCTGGCAATGACTATTTGGATATTACAGCCAAAGCTCGGATAACAAAAGTAAAAACAAACATGTGGGATTGAATCAAACTAAAAGCTTCTGCACAGTAAAGGAAACAAACCACAAAATTAAAAAGGCAGCCTTAGCTAGCCACATGCAAAACATTGAAACTGGACCCTTACCTTTCACCATATATGAAAATTAACTCAAGATGAATTAAATATCTAAATGTAAGACCTAAAACTATAAAATTCTTAGAAGAAAACTAGAAAAATCTCTTCTGGACGTTGGCCTAGGCAAATAATTTAAGACTAAAACCTCAAAAGCAAATGCAACAGAAACAAAAATTGACAATTGGGACCTAATTTAAATAAAAAGCTTCTGCACAGCAAAATAAACTATCAACAGCATAAACACAGCCTATAGAATGGGAGAAAATATTTGCAAACTACACATCTGACAAAGGACTAATATTCAAAATCTATAAGAAACTTAAACAAAGCAACAAGAAAAATCAAATAACCCCATTAAAAAGTGGGCAAAGAACATGAACAGACACTTCTCAAAAGAAGACATACAAGCAGCCAACAAACATATGAAATAATGCCCAACGGCACTAATAATCAGAGAAATGAAAATTGAAACTGCAATGAGATACCACCTCACACCAGTCAGAATGGATATATTAAAAAGTAAAAAATAACAGTGAACATGTAGAGAAAAAGGAACATTTGTACACTATTGATGGGAAAGTAAATGAGTTCAATCCCCGTGGATAGTAGTTTGGAGATTTCTTAAATAACTAAAACTAGAACTATTATTTGACCCAGGAATCCCATTACTGGGTATTTGCCCAAAGGAAAAGAAATCATTCTACCAAAAAGACACCTGCACTCATATGTTTATCACAATAGTATTCAGAATAGCAGAGTCATAGAACCAACCTAGGTGTGCATCAATAGTGGATTAGATAAAGAAAATGTGGTACATATACATCATGGAATACTACACAGCCAACAAAAAGAAACAAAACCATGTCCTTTGCAGCAACATAGATGCAGCAGGAGGCCATTATCCTAAGTGAATTAATGCAGAAACAGAAAATAAAATACTGCATATTTTCACTTATAAGTGGAAGCTAAACAAGGAGAACACATGGACATAAAGATGGAAACAATTGACACTGGGGACTCCAAACTGGGAGAGGGAGAGAGGGGACAAGAGTTGAAAACCTACTTATTGGGTACTGTGTTCCCTATGTGGTGGTGATGAGTTCAACAGAAGCCCAAATCCCAACATTATGCAAAACATCCATGTAACAACCCTGTACATGTATCCCTTGAACCTAAAAATTAAAAAGAGGCAGCCTTTGGATTAGGAGAAAATATTTTCAAACCATATATCTTATAAGGGGTTAATATCCAAAATGTATAAGTAGCTCACACAACTCAAGAGTAAAAAACCAAATAAACTGATTTTAAAAATGCAAAGAGTCTGAATAGACATTTCTTAAAAGAAGAAATCCGTATGACCAATAGGTATATGAAAAGGTGCTCAGCGTAATTAATCATCAGGGAAATGAAAATTAAAACCACAATGAGAAATTATCTAGTACCATTTAAGATAGCTGCTGTCTAAAAGACAAAAAATAAATATTGGCAAGGAAGTAAAGAGAAGAAAACCCTTAGGTATTTTTGGTGGAAATGTAAATTGGTATAGGCAGTATGGAGATTTCTCGAAAAATTACAAGTAAAACTGCCTGATGACCCAGGAATCCCTCTGTTGCCTGTATGTCCAAAGGAAATGAAATTAGCACCTTATAGAGATATCTGCACTCTCATGTTTATTGCAGTGTTATTCACAATTGCCAAGGTATAGAAATAATCTGTGCCTATCAACAAATGACTGGATTAAAAACATATGTTATATACATTTATGCAACAGAATATTGTTTAGCCTTAAAAAAGAGATACCACCATTTACAACAACATGGTTGAACCCAGAGGACATTATGCTAAGTGAAATAAGCCAGCCACAGAAAGAAAAATACTATATGATCTCACCCATATGTGGAATCTAACAAAGTGGTGTTGGATAAATAGAAACAGAGAGTAGAAATGTAGTTACCAGGGGCAGGGAGGGGAAAAAATGGTGAGAAGTAGGTTACTACTATTACCATTATTGCCTTATTTATTCTACCTAAGTACAAAAATCTATTGTATAGCATGAGGACAATAGTTAATAATATTGTATTGCATACGGAAAATTTGCTAAGAGAATAGATTTTAAATGTTCTTACCACAGATAAAATGGTACTATGGAAGGTGATGGATATATTAATTTGTTTTACATGCAATGACAATTTATAAACTATGTATATAAACTATATAAAACCATTAAAACATCATGTGGATACCTTCTATATATACAATAAAATAAATTTTTAAAAGAAGAATAAGACACAATCACTCAACTCACTGGAGGTGGTGAGATGATTCATAATTCAGAACAATGTAAGACTTAAAAAAAAGTAAGTCCTTACAAAGGACATGGACAGACATTTCTCAAAAGAAGACATCCATGCAGCCAACAAATATATGAAGAAAAGCTCAACATCACTTATCAGTAGAAAAATGCAAATCAAAACCACGATGAGATACCATTTCATTGATAATCCCCAATACACACACAAGAAGATACATGAATAAAAATATGCTCACTGGAGCCTCACAGCCAACTTGAAAGCAACTGCAGAAGCCTAGAGGCTTTGCAAACTCCAAAAGCGAGTGACTGCTAGGGGTTGGTTTAAGCCCTAAAGGAGATGAATGCTCTGAGTCAAACGACCTCTCCAAGTCAGTCATTCAAAGTGTCCTTTCATTAAAATCTCCACACTGAGGAGTGGTACAATCTAGACAAAAGAAAGTCTAAGATAAAAAGTGAAAGACAGAAACACGATTAGGAGCCATCAGGAAATAAGGAAGCATAGTTTGAACATCACACCAAAACAACAGAAAAGGATACTCTAGAGCCACAAAGCATACAAAAATGAATTTCTTATATAATGAATAACAAAAGAATTTTGAAAATCATATAAAAGTTCTTATAAGAAAAAGAGAATAAGTAGTAGAATAATATTTCTACCTCAGTGAAAACATGCCAGAAAAAGATGAGAATTATATATCAATGAAAGATAAATTATGTAAAGATAATGACACAATGTATATAAGTCATAATTAGAAACTCTTGGACATGTCTTAGATCTTAGTAAAGAATTATCAATAAAATGTAAACAATCATTTTACAATCAAAATTAACTATGAAGGAATGGAGAGTGAATAATAATGCAAAAACAAAGATGAAGAAACATAAAAAGGATTTGAGAGGAAGTAGTAAATTTAAGGATATGCAAGAAGATTCAGCATGATATATTAGGTATCTCAGAAGAATGACAAAAATTATAGAAACAGATTCAAGAGTAAAAATTATAATTCTAAGTATTTTTTTCTGAAAAGAAAAAAACAGGTTTAAAATTATGTGTTAAATAGGCTAGTTTTATACTTAAGGAAAATTGACCCTGAATGACCAATACTGAGATATATTTAGTAAAATTTCTAAACTTTAAAGAAGAAGAAAAAGAAAAACAAACAAAAACACTTCTGAGTATCCCAGCAAAGTTGCCACAACACTTATAAGTGAAGGAAAATCAGTTTATCATCAGTCTTTTCTACAACAACAGTTGAAGAAGTGTTGTTTCTAGAAGAAAATATAGTGATACTTTTAATATTCCCAAGGAAAGAAAATGGAATCAAAAGATATTTTAATCCAGACAAATTGACTTCCAAATATAAAGATGGAAAATAAATTATTATGTATAACAAATAACTCAGGGAATATTGTTTCTATGAGTTCTTCTAGGGATTTCTTCTGGAAAACAAACTATAGAGCATCAAAAACAAATATATAAAGAGACAATAACATAAGGACACGAATATAGAAAATAAAATAATTTTGATCATTTTTATAAATAAGCACTCTGTGTGTGTGTGTGTGTGTGTGTGTGTGTGTGTGTGTGTGTGTGGTGTGACTATGCTTGATTCCTGATAGGAAAGTTGGGAGGACTTAGAGGATTGCCTTAGTGGGAGTAAATAAAAGATGGAAGTGAGTTGTGATGGATGTGAGCCTGGAAGGTAAAGAGGGATAGCAGGGATGGTACTCAATTCGAACGGAACAAAACAGTCAGGTAAAATAACCAGAGTAGTCATGAAGGAACATATTCCCAAATATTGGGAGAAGACAGAGTAGAGATGGGGGTCAAAATTAGAGATTTCTTGTAGAAAGGCTCCAGAGATAGTTCTTCCCCTGAGCTGGAGTGCCCCTTAGTTAGAGGTTGAGATCCAAGAGGCTGACTGGAGTGGACAATCCCAGGCTGGAGGCAGGATTCCAAATGGATGATGGAACAAAGAACAAAGAGTTTAAGAATCAAGCAAGACAGCAGCAAACAGAAAGTGATCTCGAAATATTTTCACAAACAGCATTGGAGAGTTTTTAACTCTCCTTTACTTGTGAGTGTATACGTAGGCCACAGCAATATCAAGTTGTTTTAAAGTTTCAGAATTAGCTTCAAAACTGTGGGTTGATGGCCATCTAAAAAGAGGGAGAGGCATCTGTATTAGTTACAGTTCTTCAGAGAAAAAGAATTAATAGAATGTGTACATAGAGAGGGAGATCTATTTTAAGGAACTGGCACACACGATTGTGGAGGCTGGCAAGTCCAAAATCTGCAGAATACACCATCAGGCTGGAGAGAGTCTGAAGACAGTTGGCTGGCAGAATTCACGCTTGCTTGGGAGAGTTCAGTCTTTTTCTATTAAGGCTTTTATGTGATTGGATGAGGCCCATTCATATTATAGAGGGTAATGTGCTTTACTCAAAGTGCACTGATTTAAATGTCAATCTCATCTAAAAAATACCTTCATAGAAACTTCTATACTATGTTTGACTAAGTATCCAGGCATCATAGCCTAACCAAATTGACACATAAAATTAGCCATTATAGCTAATTCGCAATTATAGCCAAAATTAGCCATTATATCATCCTAGATTATAACAACACCTCACCTTAGTCAAGAATTGAGATTGGAAATATACTGGACATGTATATCCTGAAATGGTGGTTTCTGACTCCTGAATTACATTCAATGACCACTGCTTCCTGTCCTTCCATATCACTGGGAGGAATTAGCAAAATGCCACTTCCACTTTGCCAATTATACAACTCATTGTGGTCGTCAATTTTTTGATGTTATTTTTTCACTTTCTTTACTCTTCTTATGTCCTACACACCACTTTTACCCTGTCAGTATGGTCTATTTTTTATATTGTGTCATAAAAACATGAAGTATCCAACCCCTCTCTCTTTGTTGTTTTTGAATGGAAAAATTCAAACCTGGTTAGACCTCTCTATATGTCAATTACTGCCAAATATCTATTTCCAGCTCTGACTTTTACTAACAATTTTACCTGATTCCTTAGCATTTTCACATGGAAAAAAGGCACTGGAAACGTAAAATGGCCAAAATATAACAACTGATTCCCTCCATAAACTGTCCTTCTTCCATCTTCTCCATGTCAGTAAAGCCACTATTTGCTATCCGATTGCTCCACCTAAAAATCTTAATTTTTTGATTTTTCTTTTCCCCTCAACCACCACAACAAAATATCACGCATATTACCAAATTCATTGACTTTTTTTACAACAAATATATTGAATTTATCTACTCCTCTGTACCTCTACTACCATCATTCTGTACATGCCATAATCATCTCTTACCTGGATTACTACAATAGTCTCCTAACTAGTCTCCCTTATCCTAGTATTGCCCCTAACTCTTCCTTACCCATTTTTCACTGGGTAGCTAATGGGATCATTAGAAGTATAAATCAATGTGGTTGTCATACTTAAAACTCTCCAATTCAATGTTTCATGCATTGATGGTGCAAATGTAAAATAGAATAGCCATTTTGGAATGTGGTTTAGTAGTTTCTCATAAAGTTAGACATATATTTCTCATAAAACAAGCAATTGCACTCCTAGGTAATTATCGTAGAAAAGTGAAAACTTATATTCACATAAAAACATTTATACAAATGCTCATAAAAGCTATGTTTGTAATAGCCAAAAGCTAGAAACAACCAAACATCTTTTAGTGGGTAAGTGGATAAACACACCATGAAGTAACCATAAAATGGAAAACTATCCAGCAACAAAATGAACTATTAATACATGCAACGACTAGGGTGGATTTAAAGGTGTAAATAAAGTATGTAACATCACTTTTGATGCTTGGCTGCTGACTCTTTCAAACTCCACTACTCCCTCTTCCTCTCTTGCCCCATATGTGGGCCAGCTGATAAAAAGGCTTGAAGTCTTTCTTTTAATGCTGGTGGAAAGTTAAAACCACACAAGGTCTGGACTGCACATGGGAACCTACATCCCAGTCCATCTTTCTATCCAATCAACAAAGCCAGTAGCTCCTTTTTTGTTTGCTCAAGATAGTTCCAGACCCATTTGGAAGCATGCCCTGCTCTCCCCCAAAGCCTCATGATGTGAGCATTAAATGTTTTCATAGCCCTTTGGTTGATGTGTGGCATTTAAACCAAATTTCAGGTCAATTGTTCTTTTCGTCTCTGTAAGATGAGCATAACAAAAGGACATGATGCTGAGTGAAAAAAAGCCAACTGCAAAATGTTATATGTTGTGTGAATCCGTGTATATGACTTTGCAGAAATGAAAAACAGTAATGAATAACAGATCAGTACTTGTGACTGTAAAGGGGTAGCAGGAAGGAGTTTCTTTGTAGTGATAGAACAGTTCTATACCCTGATTGTGGTGTGAGTTATATAAATCCATACATGTGATGTGATTTCACAGTAATACACACACACACACACACATACACTCTACATGTAAAACTGATGAAATCTTGTCTGCAGTTTAGTTACTAGTGTTTTAGTAGTGTTGTATCAATGGACATTTCTTGGTTTTCACAGTGCGTAGGTAGTATAGTTATGGAAAGCTGCTTGGAAGGCATGCTGGAGCACTGTCTGTATTACTTTGGCGACTTCTTGTAGGCCAAATTATTTGAAAATAAAAAGTAAGATAAAACAAACATTTAAAAATCCTCTTCAATGTTTTCTCATCTTCCTAGAGTCCAATCCAGAACTAGACCTTGAATTTTTGACACCCTCAGTCCCTGACTCCCTCCTTAATCTCATCTCCTGCTATTTCTCTCCTTTGCCCACTGAACAGCCACATCAGCCCTCTTCTGTTACCCGGAGCATGCCAGGCTCAGTCTTAGCTTAGGACCTTTAGAAGAGCTTTTGTCTCTGTCAGGATTATTCTCCTTCTGGATTTTCATGCGGTTCTGGGAGAACACTAAAGACAAAATAAAATCACAGAAATTTCTAGCATCATGTCATTTACAGTGCAGGGGAAGAGATGACTATTGATCAAATGATGCTAATAAAAAACACTTGATAAACACTACAGGCAAGTAGCACATGGTTCTGTGAGCATCAATAGTAAGGAGGCCAGATCTAGTCTGAAGATGCAGTGAAAGCCTCTGTGAAGGAGTGACACTTGAGCCGAGATGTGAAGGCTACGCTGAATTTATCTGCGTGAAGAGCAGCAGCAGAGAGCTCCATGTAGAAAGAAGAGCATGTCCTCACTTATAAATGGGAACTGAATGATGAGAACACATGGACACAATGTGGGTTGGGGGGAGGGTACAACACACACTGGGGCCTGTCTATGGGAGGGAGTGCATCAGGAAAAATAGCTAATGGATGCTGGGCTTAGTACCCAGGTGCAGTAAACTGCCCAAGTTCACCTATGTAACAAACCTGCACATCCTGCACATGTAACCCCGAACTTAAGAGTTGAAGAGAAAGAAAGAAATAGAGAGAGAGAGAAAGAAAGAAAAAAGAAAGAAAGAAGGAAGAAAGAAAGAAAGAAAGAAAGAAAGAAAGAAAGAAAGAAAGAAAGAAAGAGAAAGAAAAGAAAGAAAGGAAGGAAAGAAAAAAGCAAGCAAGCAGACAGGAAGGAAAGAGAGAGAGAGAGGTAAGGAAGGAAGGAAGGAAGATGTACCAAGGTCCTGTGACTGATGGGATGGTGGGTGGAGAGGAAAGAGGAGTGTCACAAGTTGCAGGATAAAATTTAGGGACCTAGGAAGAAGCCATAACACTTAGAATCTTAAAGACCATATCAAGGATGATTTTGCTATGATCCAGATGACAAAAGACTCCTCATAAGGCTGGCTAGAAACTAAAATTCCCCACTTAGCAATTCATTCTTTTCAACTTAGAGTCTAAACACATATGGGAGGGAATTATTCTGATGACTTGATGTAAATGATTTCTCTGAAAACAGATTTTATTCGGGGAGGAGTGAATGCTTTCTCTTACTAAAATCCTGAGCGAAGGAAAGGAAAATACTGGGTGGTTACTTCACACTTCAGTCCATAGAGGCCCTTATAGCAATGCCTCAGTGGGAGCAGGAGAGTGACATATCTCCTAGTTGTTCCTAGTGGCCAAAACCTTTCTTCTCTGTGAATGGTAAGGATCACATCTAGGACCTGGAGGTCAGAAAGCAGCAGCCCTAGAGCTATCTATGTGTTCAGAAAAACCAGCAAGAGCTCAGGCCAGTGTGATGTGGTGTGTCTGCAGAGCAGCTGTGGAGCCTGTGTTTTTATACTTTCATAAATTATGTGATACAGGGAACAGCTATTGCTTGGAGCTCCTGAGTATTTGAAAATAAGAGTGACACAAGATTTGGCTCAAGTTAGCCAGGTTGCTAAGCAATTATGGGCATATTGTGATTCTAGATTTCACCTTCCTCTGTCTCTTCGGGTTCCTTGAAGTGTTACAGTTTCTTTTATCTTTCGTTTCTCCTGCCCTTCTTCTTGATTTTTCTGTTTCCTCCTATCTTCCTTTTGTCTTTTCCCCTTATTTTGAAAAGGAAAGTCACAGGTGTTTGACAACCCAGTGCTCCCTGTATATCTTATAGTCCGCAGTTTGATCATCAACAACCAGTTTCCAAATTTTACAGATGGTCACTGTCCACAGGCATAAGAGTCAGTTATACCTTCAGGAATACCTAGAAGCTTTTTTCTTCCAGTTAGTCCCAGAAAATATAAACCTCCTCTCACTTCATATATCACCCCACGCACCTGTTTTTCAAACCCCTGCTCTTTTAGATTTTAAGGCCTCTGATGCAATGACAAAATTCATGAGGGTGCCTTGAAAACCAATGGCAGGCCAGGCGTGGTGGCTCACGCCTGTAATCCCAGCACTTTGGGAGGCCAAGGCAGGCAGATCACGAGGTCAGGAGATAGAGACCATCCTGGCTAACACAGTGAAACCCCGTCTCTACTAAAAATACAAAAAATTAGCCGGGCGTGGTGGTGGGTGCCCGTAGTCCCAGCTACTTGGGAGGCTGAGGCAGGAGAATGGCGTGAACCTGGGAGGCAGAGCTAACAGTGAGTCGAGATCGTGCCACTGCATTCCAGCCTGGGTGACAGAGCGAGACTCCGTCTCAAAAAAGAAAAACAAAAAACAAACAAAAAAAATCCCAATGGCAGAGAGAGGCTGCCCCACATGCCCTGGCTGAGACCATCCAGTTCAGCGGGACGGACCTTGTAGGAGTATCACTTCAATGGGTAGGATGTATTTTCTAGTGCAGTGATTGATTACTTCCTCTATAAATTAAGGAAAACCTCCTTAGCTGAGGAGTGTCTTATTAAGAAGTCTTTCAAGCACTAAATGCTTTCAGCATTCTCTGGGCAGTAATGGCATTGCTAAAGTCATGGAAAAATACAGCGCTTCCCTTTGTGACATTAACACCTTCCTAAAAATCAAAAGTTTACTTGCTAAGGCCACAGCAGAAAGGATTTAAGGCAGTGTCTGCAACTCCAATCAGTAGCCATATCTTCCTTGGTTCTCACTTAGCATGGAATCTTTGAGTTCTTGGAATGGGATCCAAAGTTTAGCTGTTTGAAAAGCCAAATATGGAGAAATTACTCTTTGGGTACCCAACTGCATACATTGAAATGCATAGGTTTTCTCTTGTGTTTTTATGTGGGCAGGAGGATATTTAATTGTTGATTGATGCAGGAGGGATGGGGAAAGAGGGGATGGAGCAGAGAGAAATGAGGGGAGCATATCTCTGCCCAGCTGCTTGGCTCAGTTTTGGTTCCTGAAGAGGGAGTGGTTAGGGGAGACTGTGAAGAAGCTATTTTAATTGGAGTTCTGTGAGTCCGTGGTCAAAGTAGCATAAATTGTGAGTAGCAGCTCAGAAGACACAATGCTGTGTGGAGCTTGGAAAGAACCATTTCCCAGTGCTGCAGGAACTTTGGGACTGATGGATTTTGGAGCATGGAGCCTGGTTCCCCAGATACAGGCATTAGTGTTCTCACAAGAACAGTAAATGGAAAGGAATGAGACAGAGAAGGAGAGACAGATCAGAATAGACTAACTGGCTGATAGATGGGGCAATCCCTGGAGACTCTTACAGATTCTTGGGAGGGTTCTGATGAGGTATTTTGTCTACTTTATTCTCCTGGAATTAAGCATCATTGAGGACTTAAGTAACATTAAGCAAAGTTTGGGGCCCTTATGTAGAAAGAGCATAGGCCAAGATACTAAAGTTCTGAGTTTGGGTCCTGCTTTGACTAGTAATGGAATGTAAGCTTTTGAATAAATTAGTTCCTTTTTTTGTGGCTGCAGTTGTTTTTTCATTTTAAAATTAAGAATTTGGGGCTAAAGACCTATTAGCTTCTTTCAGATCTAGTAATCTAAACCTTTTTTCACTTCTAAGCTAAAGAGATTCTTGAAAATATTAGAAGCATTCAGATCAAGGTGTTTCCATGCTTACACCTGTTCAGTCAGTCCCCGTTGCATAGGGAATGAGACCTGAGCCTGGCTCATGGTCTCAGGGTGCTTCTGCCCTAGCCCTTTTTTCCCTCTCTGGTCTCTCTACTATTTCTTCTAAAGTCTCCTTGCTCCAGCTGCATGGGCCTTCTTTGTATTCTTTTAATCTTCTAAGTTCATTCTTACCTCTAGACCTTTGAAGATTTTCTCTCCTCTGGTTGGAAGACTCTTCTCAGAGGTTGTCACAAGCTGGATTCTTCTCATTATATTGAGAAATAGTTCAAATGTTTGTCAGAAGGATCTATAAGTAAAATCATAACCCCCACCCAGACGTTGTCTCTCACATTTTCCTGTTTTAGTTTATTCATAGCGCTCTTGATATTCTGTAATTATCTTGCTTGTTTGCTTATTTGTTCTAACTCTTCGTCACTGAAAATTAAGCCTTTTGAGAACAGGAAACTTGTTTGTCTTATTCAGCACTTAGAATAGTGGCCAACCTATAAAAAGTGTCAAAAATCCTTCATTTAATGCATGAAATAAACGAATAATAAAAAACTCAGCATCCTCATTATTGACTGGTCACAAGAGTGTCTCAGAAGCAATAGCGTCTATAGAAAAGGGATCCTTTTAAACTTTAGCTTAGATTTGAGGATATCGTTTACTCTTTCTATGTTTTTGAGTACTTACACATAAAATAGGTGACTTATTCACCTAGATTTCAGCCAAAGTGAAGTCTGAAAACAACAAAGGAATGTTTTCAAATCATGTGAATAAGAGTAACATTTACGGATTACTTAGTCTGATCTGGGCCTTGTGCAAGGAACACTGGTACTGTTTATCTCCTTTCATCCTCACAGCAAAATTGTTATACAGATGTTTTAATTCTCATTTTTTTCAGGTGAAGAAGCAGTAAGTCACTTTTCCAAGCCTCATAGCTAGTGAATAACAGGTTGAGAATTGCAGGTCAGAGAAACTCAGATTTTGTGTCTCTGCCAGATGGCTTCCCACATACTTTATAATGTTACTGCTATGCCTGAAAAGAATTAGTTTTATGACATTTTAGGTCCAATTGATGCTGGACGTAACTCCATGTGGAGCCTAACCTTGTCTTCTATTTCTGGCAGACAACGGAGAAAAGAGAGGTGTTGTCATTTAGAGGATATATAAAACCAAGGTCTTTGCCACTTATAGTCAATAAAATCTTCACAATGCATTTTCCATGACTGTTCTGGATAAATTCCAGTGGGAGCAATTAGCTTTAACACCTTTAAATGTCTGCAATACTTTCAGTTGTTTAGTGTATTCTGAGTGTCCACCTAATTTGTAGTACATTAACCACGAACTGTGAATGTCAATTTCCTCCAAACTCCAGAAGAGAATGCATCCCAAGGAGGAAGAAATAAGGCAACCAATATATTGCAGGATATATGATGGATACATATGAAGGATAGAAACTCATGAGAGTGAAAAGAAGGGAGAAGAAGAGGGAAGAAGATACAAGGGAAAGGTAGAAGAGCTAAAAAAGGAATAAAATATGATCATAATTATAACCATAATCATAGTAACAAACATTTATTGAGCTTGAATGATTATTATGTTCTAGTTCATATTCTATGAGTTTTCAATTATTAATTCATGCACCCCTCAAAACAATTCTATGAAGTTGGCAATATTATCCACATTTTGCAGATACGCAAACTGAGGCACAGAAAATGTAAGTAATTTGGTCAAGGTCACTGATATATGCAAGAAACAGATGCCATATGCACTGGATGTAGAGTCTGCATTTTTAAGCAAAATGATATAAAATCTGATGGCATGGCTAACCTTAAATATGTTTCTTTGAGGTGGAGTTATGGAGAGATCGTTGTTTGCCTGTGTGTATGGTGCATTAAACAAGTCTCCTCACCTCAAATATCTTTCTCTTTAGGCCATCAATGATAAATGAAACATCTTAAAAGATGTATTTCATTGTAATAACTACTGTATAACATACTGTTTTAATGAGAACACGGTATAGTTTGCTATGCATATTGAGTAGCTCTGAGTATCTCTCCTCTCTTCTGGGTTAAAAAAATCAAAGAGAAATAGGGAGAGGCACCATTACTAGTAAACCTAGAATGGAGAACCCATCTTAGACCAGAGGATTGAGAAAGCCTTTCTCTTTCTTTCCCTATTGAAATGAACTGAACTCTCACCTAGTGACAAGGTGAGAACATGGAGGATGGTAGATTTACTCTTGCAGGTCTAGCCTGGTCCTCTCACCAAATGGGAGATGCAGCCAAACCATTTCCAGGGCTTTTCTCTCCATAAAGCATGCAGCACAGGCAAGAAATTAAAGGTCAGGAGATTGGGCTTACATAATCAGATAAATCACTCCTCTTATTAAAAAGAAAGAGTGAAGGGTGGAGCCATAGAGGATGGGAAGCACACCTTCAATACCCTTTTTTTTATTATTGGAATGAAAGAAAGCAAATAAACAGCACTCCTCATGAAGTAAAACAATCCTTTCCAACTGACACCATCCAAGAGGAGATAGCAATGAACAGGCACAGAACTAGAAGTTGAAATGCCTTGGTGTGGAGGAACTGGAGGATCCTGCACATGGGTATCAGTTGAAGAGGCCTGAACTGTGAATGGATCCTCTTGAGTGCCCGGAACACAGCATGAAGGCTGGATTTGACTGTGGTGTGACTGACTGTGATACCACATAGAGGTAGAAAGTTGAAAGGAGAACTGGAGAAATGCTAAAGATAACCTGTTCTCCTCTTTTTCTTAATTTTACTGTTGGCATCTGACGCTAGTGTAAAAAGTAGACTGAAAAGATCATATTATATTATTAAGAATAACAACTGCAGCTGCCATGATTTCATACATTTTTCTAAGCAGCAACTTATATTTAGTTACTTCTGTATATGGATACTAAATATATCTGTCATAACAAAGTAATGGGTGGTTACTCTGATCATTAATAATTCTTAAGGTAGTCAATGCAATATTGTTAATATATTGGCCACTTTGAATGACAGGGTACCCAGGAAATAACATGTCATTCCCTAGTTTTCCATTGCCAGTTGGTGATAATTGCAATTCAGTAAAAAACATAGAATGAAGTATTCTGGTGTTTTTTATAATAATGTCAGTGGAAACAAGATAAGTTGGTATTATAGATGCCATTAAACATTATTCAGATAGGAAAACTGTTGTGAATGTAGGAGGTCCAGTTTGCCTTGTTGAAAATGTATTGAGCTTCTCTTCTCAGATAAGATTTTTTGTTTGAATGCATGTGTTCCTCCAAAATTCATATGTTGCATTTAAACCTGCCGGTCATGGTATTAAGTGGGGCCTTTGGGAGGTGATTAGGACATGAGGGCAGAGCCCTCATAGGTGGGATTGATGCCTTACAAAAAAAGCTTGAGGAAGAGAATTAGTCCCTTTTACCCTTTCACCTCTCACCATGAGAGGACACAGTGTTTGTCCTCTTTGGAGGATACAGCAACAAGGTGCCATCTTAGAAGCAGAGAGAAAGTCCTCACCAGACATTGAATCTGCAGGCACCTTAATCTTGGATTTCCCAACCTCCAGAACTGTGGAAAATAAATTTCTATTATTTATAAATTACCCAATCTCTACTATTTTCTTATAGCTGCAGAATGGACTGAGACAATTTTGTCATCTCAACTGGTGAATCATTTCACTAAAGATTTTTAACTATCAAGTGTTTTTCAGAGATTTTTCTTTTAGGAATTTATATGCATTGATTATTTTGAAATTATACATACAATTGGGGCAGGTGGTATCTTTTTACAAATTAACATTTTCACAAAAACATTAGTGTGTATACATCTTGAACTCTTTCGGCAGGAATAATAATTTCAGATGACAATGTATGGATGGACTAAAGTGGCCACTCCACAAATTTATAATAGTGTATGCTGGTGTTTACAAGCTAACAGGCATTGAGACCTGTTAGCTTTTCATTTTCTTTTCTTTGATTTATATGGACAACATAAATTAATCCATACATGGCATCACAGTTAATGGGAATGTGTACTCTACTTGTTCAATTAAATAAAGAGATATGGGGACACTTTTGTTTCTTCCCTATGTAACTATTAAATGTTCATGGAATAAAAACGCATGGTTGAAACTATTTTATCTTTACAGGTTCTGTACATTAGTGAGTTTTGAATCATTTATCTCTTTTTCTGTTTTTATTTATCTGTGACTTCTCATGCAGACAAATTAGAGGGTTGGTAAACAAACAGGTCCACAGATTGTCAGAGTTTTAGGAAACTTCCTTAAAGATCAGCTGGGTCTCAGGTTGCAAAACCTGTCTGCTACAAGCTCATGCAGTAAGTTGGAGGCAGAGTAGAAATGACAACTCAGTTTCTCTGGACTCCAAGATATTTTCATTATATAATCCTTGTTGGTATATTTACCACAGTGCAAAGTAGGTAAACATAGCTTTATTTATATGACTAGCCCCTATTATGTACCAGGGACTGTGCTATGGCACTGGAACACAGCTAGCTGCGAGCAGAATAGACACAATCCCTGACCTTGGGGTAAGAGGTGAGATGTTAAGACATCAAACATTACTGTAAAAGCAATAGAAATCTATTGAAGAATCTGACGCAAAAGTTTGACAGGGTCAGAGTTATGTACTACTAGACTCTTACTACCTGTCTGCAGAATGGAATAGATAAACAAGGCTATAATCAGAGAGTATGACAACAGATGAACAAGAATTATGATGCCGAAGATGAAAAAATGTTTGGGAAATACATTTTGGAGAGTGAAACCTTAATTTGGTGTTTACTTAAAGACAGGAGAGATACAAAAAGAGGAGCCAAAAGTAACTTCTTATTTTCTGAATTGAGTGACTTTGTTGATGTTGTTGATTTTCACTGCAGGGGGAAAGAATGTTTTCAGTTCTGGTGATATACTCAGAGAGAGACGTCCTGTTAGCAGTGGGACATTCAAGTTTTGCCATAAGCTGTGGTATCTAGATTATGGGTAGTTAACTAAGCTGTATTAGTGGAGGTGTTCAGCAATAGATCAACTATAGAATGCAAAGGAAAGAAGCTTACAGAATAACAAGTGAAGGATGAAAAAAGGGGAAAAAAGGATAAAATGCTGTACAGGACACTGGGTATTGGTCACAGATTAAAGGAAAAAATTAAAGGAGTCAGTTTATGAAAGAGGGAACTGTCCGCAGTGTTAAGTAATGTCAGAGAATAATAAAGATAAGGGCTGAAAACAGTTCACGATGTTTTAGAAAAAATAACTTATTTTTGACAACGGAGTGAGAAATTATTATGATATTATGAGGAAAATAAGCTGAATTATAGTGGGTTGAAAAATACATGACTACAACAGGCATATATCAATTTCTCAGGAACTTCCTTTTTGGATAGTGAAGAACTAGGGCTATAGAGGGGTCTATGTGATCCTAGAAAGGCTTTCTAATTATTTAAAAAAATATTTAGAGAAGTGGCCAGGCATGGTGGCTCATGCCTGTAATCCCAGGGCTTTGAGAGGCCAAGGCAGGTGGATCACTTGAGGCCAGGTGTTCAAGACCAGCCTGGACAATATGGTGAAGCCTCATCTCTACTAAAAATACAAAAATTAGCTGGGCGTGGTGGTGCATGCCTGTAATCCCAGCTCCTCTGGAGGCTGAGACAGGAGAATCGCTTGAACCCAGGAGGCAGAAGTTCCAGTGAGCCGAGATTGTGCCACGGCACTCCAGCCTGGGAGTGAGATTCTGTCTCAAAACAAACTCTATCATCTATCTATCTATCTATCTATCTATCTATCTATCTATCTATCTAATCTATCTATCTTTCTATCGAGAGAGAAAGAGAGAGAGAGAGAGAGACATATAAGCAAGGATAAAAGGTGGAAAATTAACGAAGAAAACAAAGTCCCAGAAGGGCAGGTAGAGAAGATTTTCAAAATATAAGTGGAATGATTAGTCTTGGAGGGAGAATGGACACATTTCTTACTGAAATAAGAGAGAAAGAGAAAGAGGTGTGTGCTGATGGAAGCCATCTTATGGGTGCTGGGCCAGTATGTTGGGACTTTTTAAAAAGGCTTCTATTTTTTTCTGGGATTTGGAGCTAGCAGTTACTGATGGAGGACCACAATTTGTATAAGGGATTTCCTGTGCAAAGATGCAGGGTTCCACCTGTATTACCCCTCAGTCCTTTCCTTGCGTGTAATTTTACACACCAACAAAAATGAATTCTGTGAAAGCAACCTGGAAGACAGATGTCACAGCCAGCAATAGGTGCCAGACCTGTTGTGAAGCAATCCTTCTGACTGGTTGGATAGCAAATTTTTAGAAATCTTTAGAAATTGCAAGCTGAATCCATAAACATAATTTCATCCACTTCTTGCGCAGTTTTATGCTTAAGACCATGTTGAAGGGAGGCCTTCTGCTCCAAAGTTATGTGATTGTATACTCCTCACTTAGTTTCTTATTCAGAATTCTTATCCATAATATGGAGGAAATATATACCTCACAGAGATATTGTGAAGATCAAAATAGAACATATATGGACATTTCTAGTAAGTATTCTTCACTTAACAAGCAAATAAATCCCAACACCAACTACCTTAAATAATAAATGTAAAATACAAGTAGGAGATGAGGCTGTCTCATGGAATTCAAGGATAGGAAACCTGCCAGGCTTTGCAAACAACTAGAACCAGGGACTTCAACGTCTTGTCCTTCAACAAGGATTTGTTCCTTGTCTCTTGTCTCTGATCACCTCTCCATAGCTACTTCATTTCCACCCCACCTTTTAATGCAAAATTTCCCCTTCCATCTCTCTGGTCATTGGACATAAAATATGTTCATCGATTTCCAGATCTTTATTATTTCTCCCATGGACATGGAAACCATGAGCAAACAATCTCTTTTTTAGTCCAAAAAATGATGGGAAGAAACTTGCATAGTTTGGTCTTAGTGTCTCATCTGAATCAATCAAATGTTAGCAGGAATTCAGAACAACATGCGGCAAAATTGTGCTTCTTTATGGCAACCGTGAGGTTGATGGTGGGGGTGTGGGTGGGGTGGGGGCTAGTCCCACAAAAGTGCCAATGTGAACAGAAGAAACAAAACATCAATACATAAATCACGATGCGCCACATCTGTGGATGATATTGGTGCAATCATAAATAATTGGCTATTATAAGACTATACATTATAATCTATTATCCACTAGTCCCTGTATTCTTCTGGATTGTTTTTTTTTTTTTTTTTCACCTTACAGTTACATTAAATGGACCCACCCCAAGTCTTTTTTCTACTTTATTGTTCTATTTTATATTTTATCATAGGGTACTGAAAGTGTCCTTTCCTGCCATCTAATGGAACTATTTCCACAATCACACACACATACACACATGCCCACATATGCACACATACACACATATGCACACATACACCAGACACACACCAAATGTGGGACGGGAGACTCCCATCTACGTTTCTATATTCTCCTCTGATTAGCATCTTCTCCCTCTGGCTGAGGTGCTCTTGGAGCTTCTTGCTAAGGAGTATTGTTCTGATGAACATCAAAGTATTCATAGTGGCAAAGATTCCACTGACTCCCTATCCTGCAGGAAATTCCAATTTTTGTCACTTGCTTCTTTAATTAAAAATAAATAATATAAATAAAGTATGATTCAGAAGAAACAAGAACAAATTATAAAGCATTTGTGCAAACATAGCCTTAATTAAACATACTGTTTCTTAAGTATACTAATTCCCTTCTACAAGTCTCTGAAATTTGTGTTGACTTTCAACTGAAATAGTCTCTCCCCAAAGCTTAGTAGGGGCTGGTCACAGTGGCTCACGCCTGTAATCTCAGCACGTTGGGAGGCCTAGGTGGGTGGATCACTTGTGGTCAGGAGTTTGAGACCAGCCTGGGCAACATGGCGAAACCCCTTCTCTACTAAAAAAAGCAATTAAGAAAAAAAAAGTAGCGGGGCATGGCAGGAGCCTGTAGTCCCAGCTACTCGGGAAGCTGAGGCAGGGGAATGGTCTGAACCTGGGAGACAGAAGTTGCAGTGAGCCCAGATCCCACCACTGCACTCCAACCTGGGTGACAGAGCGAGACTCCATCTCAAAAAAATAAAATGAAATAAAAAATAAAAAAACTTAGTAGGGCTTCTTCCCTCACGCTTGTAGATCTCTCTCTATTCAAATGTCACCTTTTCAGAGAGACAGTTCTTAAGGGGCACTTCTGGGAATTGCCTGTCACATTAATTCTTCTTTATTGGACTTCCTCACTGAGACTACATGTTCCATGAGGGCAATGGTCTTGTCTGTTTATCATTGTATCCCCAGCACTTAGAACAATTCCTGACATATAGAAACACTCAGATATTTTTTTTGAAGAAATATAAAAATAACTGACAAAGAGAATCTGGACCTTTCAGAAACAATGTAAAGAAGGGATTAAACAATGTAAAGAAGGGATTAAAATCCTGATTATATAGCAAAATAACCTAAATCCAAAGCAGCTTTATGATAGACCTGATATTACACCACTGATAAGGACTGAGAAAGACTAGAACAAATAGTGATTATACCTTGTTTTTCCCTTTAAGCAGCACCTATTGCGGACAGGATCTTGATGAAACTTCACTGAAATGCTACAGTCAGCGTGTACAGGAAGTTGGATTGGCATATGGACCTTTGAGTCACAGAAATATGGTTTCCAATACAAGTTAACTATTGCATTATTATGCAATAGTTATTTTTCTCTGGGTCTTCTCCTGAAATGGGAGTAATACTATCCACCTCATAGACCAGTCGTAGGACCTAGGTAAATGTATGGATGTAAAGTGATTAGCCCAGAATGTAGTCTACAGAAAGACTTCAAAAATATTGACTATTACTGTTATCATAGGATGTGAATGAGAGAAACAAGGCTTCTATTTGGAGTTCAGTGAATGATCTGATAGGCCTCTGAAAAAAACATATGCAAAGTCCCAGGTCTGGTCCTTGACAAGAAAATGCCGTTGTAAAGTGATAGTGGATGGGAAAAGTCACTTTCAACCTGGCCGTGACCAGAAAAATAAAATGGTAAAGGACTTGTCATGCTGTCTCAAAGACAGGGATCCCTTCTGATCAAGTATCAGCCAGAAAGTGCTCCTATTTGGAATGGTTTACAGTTCTCTTTATGGGGCCTTTATGCAGACTGGAAAAAGGCACTTTTTCCAGGATAACAATAATTAGAAAACCCTGATCCTTCAGTGTCAAGGGATCCCATGGGGACCACCCTGCGGAGCGAGTGAGGCAGAGGTTCCTGGTTTGGCAAGAAGAGAGGTCCTGGATTAAGTTTCAGCTTTATGATCTTTATGCCCAGGGAAGCTTTCTGCAATATCCTGATCCTGCAGCAGTTCCCAGAGCTGGTGTCACCCAGTGAGCCTAGCCTACACGACACAGTACCATAATTTGGGAAACCATTACCCATTGCTTCTGAAAAATCAGAATATGGCAGAGAAAGGATAAAAGCAGGAATTGTGAGGTTATTCAGCTGTAGACTGCAACTTCACTAGCCTCCTCTTAGAGGGAGGCTCTGGAATTTGTTCGAGAGAGAAGTTGAGCTTCGTTTAGACAGTTTTGTTGCAAACAAACACCCGCAGGGATCGAGGCCATTCTTCCCTCCCAGATTATGTGGACACTTATTTATCTGTTTTTATTATTTCTTTTTCTATAAAAATTGGGAGGCTCTTGTTGAGATACAGTGTTTGCCCTCTGGATGTGTTTTCTTTTTCCTGTAAACACTCCTGTCTCCATAGTTTTGCACTTGTTGGTCAAGGGAATGATTGGGAGCATAGAAACTGAAGTTCCATTTTACTCATTCTGCCAGGAAATTGTGAATAAATTGGGACGACAAGAAGAACTACAATTTCTGCCCATGTACACTATTTTCTGATATTGTTGGGGAATTTGGAAAATATTTTGTCTAATTTTCTGCACTTTAACTCAAATTGGCATAATGTGTCATGTTTCTGCGCCTGCTCAAGGAACTTTGTGGCTGTTGTCAATTGTATCCAATGTAAGCTCTCTGGCTGGATGTCGAAGTTTCTGTTTGTTGGCTTATTCTACCCAATTCACCATTATTTTTCCCTTTTTCAGAAAACTCTTTTCCAGGCAGCTTAGTCTCTTCATTGCCAGACATCTTTGCCAAAAGTATTTAATTTATTTTTTATTTTAAAAATCCAATTTAGTTATAGCAAATAATACATGAATTTTGCTGTGGAAAAATGCTAAAACTTTAGAGAGCTTGTGTGGCAGAGATTGGCTGGTTTTCAAACAAATCTGTGTTTTCTTAATGGTCCATGACCTAACATCTAATTTACTCCACATAAAGCATCTTCCAGATAGTGGTGTTGAGAAGAGGGTGTGCTTCCCCCATTTCCTCTCTCTTTCCCCATCAGTCAGCCGAGGATGACAGGATAATTTCCAAATTACATGTTGAACATGGTGAAGCCATAACTTGGTTAGCCATGATTTCTTAGCCACCACTTTAAGAAGAGCCACTCAAGAGAGCTATACAGTCCAGAACATCTACATTGAAACTTTCTTGTAAGACGTAGAAAAAATAAACCTTTCTTCTCATAGGACTCTGAAATTTGTGGACTGTTTGCTATAGAGATATCTGATTCTACAGGTTGCAAGAACTTCCAAGGTTGAGAGAGTGAATTGATACTGTGTCCCTTAATTAACTGAAAAAAATTTAACCCCATCTCCATAAAAGTAATTAGTAATAGCCATCAAATAAGAAGAGACTTATAGAATAATGGAAGAGCCCTCAAACTTGTCTGGCTATTAGAATTTCCCAGGTAACTTCAAAAAATAAGAATGCCTGGATTCATCCCCCAGATCCATTAAACCAGATTCACTGATTTAGACCTAGCGCATAGGTCTAAATCAGTGTTAGCATTAAAAAAAATAAACTCTCCAAATGAATCTAACATACATGTAGGATTGAGAACTGAATTTGATGGACTTTGAAAACAGGTGGCACATGAAAGAAACAGATGAGTGTAGAGGGAGGTAGGAGCCACAGTGAGATTGCGCTTCTCACCTAGATCCCACCAGCCCTGTGTGTCAACAACAATTTGAGGATTCTTACTAATGCACTCAATTGGGGAAAAAAGCATGATTAACATATATAAGTTTCAGCTTTTTTGTTTTACTTAAGAGGATTGGAACCTGGTGAAAAAGGTAGTGAACAGACTGCCTCTAATGAAGGCTGAGACTTCAGGGTGATACACTGAAATATGGACCCAACAGTCCCATTACTGGGCATATATCCAAAGGAATATAAATCCTTCTATTATAAAGACACATGCAAACATATGTTCATTGCAATGCTATTCACAATAGCAAAGACATGGAATCAACCTAAATGCCTATCAATGATGAACTGGATAAAGAAAATGCACTACATATACACCATGGAATGCTATGAAGCCATTAAAAAGTATGAGATCATGTTCTTTGCCAGGATATGGATGGAGCTGGAGGCCATTATCCTTAGCAAACTAATGAGGGAACAGAAAACCAAGTACCACGTGTTCTCACTTACAAGTGGGATCTAAATGATGAGAACACATAGAGGAGAACAACACACAGTGGGGCCTATCAGAGGGCAGAGGGTAGGAGGAGGTTGAGGATCAGGAAAAAATAACTAATGGGTATTAGGTTTGATACCTGGGAGATGAAATAATCTGCATAACAAACCCCTATGACACAAATTTACCTATGTAACAAAGCTGCACATGTACCCATCACCTAAAAATAATTTTTTAAAAAGAAATGTGGAACTGACGTCATTTCTCTGGGTTCCCTCTACCAAGGTGACATAGGTGGTGGGGGATAAGATGGGTAGGTGGGGAGAAAGAAAATAAAGAAAGAAAATTAAAAAATCATGAAAAAATAAAAATAGATCTAAAAGAAAAATATATTTCAAGGAAGAGAGGAAAGTTATTCACAACTTCTCAACTATTACTTCAAAGAAATAATTTACTTCATAAAAATAATTTTCCTTTAATAAAATAACTGAAAGACAAGATAAAAGGGTGACAGAAGGAGATGGCAGAGAACACCGCAGGTTTGGGTAGCAAATTCAAAACAACGTCAAAAGTAACACATGAATGGAAACAAGGAATGACATTGACATCATTTTGAATTGAATTACTGATGGAAAGGAAATGTTTACAAGAGCATATAAAATAAATTGATAAACATCTTTCAATGTAAGGATAACTGGAGTACTTAATATGAAATATAATTCAATCAAATATATAATAAAACAAGTCCAGAATTTTTTTTTTTTTTTTTTTTGAGGTGGAATCTCACTCTGTAGCCAGGCTGGAGTACAGTGGCGTGATCTCGGCTCACTGCAACCTCTGCCTTCCGGGTTCAAGCGATTCTTCTGCCTCAGCCTCCCGAGTAGCTGGGACTACAGGCATGCTCCATCACACCTGGCTAATTTTTGTATTTTTAGTAGAGACGGGGTTTCACCATGTTGGCCAGGATGAAATGTTTAGAATTTTTAAAAACTGTATCCTAATATTGAAAGCTCATGAAATATTCCATGACAATTTGATATAAAATATTCAAGCTGCTAGTTAAACTACTGAGCATCAAGAATACAGGCAGACATTTCATACATCAAAAATAAAAAAGCACTTATAAGGCAAAAATAAATCAGATGAGCCTCAGATTTCTCTACAGCAACAATGTTCTGCAGGTAGGAAATTATGGTCCAAAAATATTATAACCACCCAAGGTATTCAAATATAAAGGCAACAGGTAGGCCCTCAAAAACATGAAATATCTCAGGGAATGAAGCATCCACGAATCTCTCTAATTAAAAGAAATCCAATGATCAAATCTTGTGATTTAAGATATTATGAAAAGGAATCTTACAAAAAATGGATAAACTGCACATTCAGGATAGATGGCGGGCAGTAAATAAATGTATACATAAGACAATGTCAAATTTTGCTTACAGAAGAGACTATTAAAAGAAAGTTTTTGGTGTAAAATAAAGCATCAGGAGGGAAGAGGTAAGGGAGAAGAAGCAAGTCTGAGCAAACTATTATCCTTGTCTTTCACAGTAGGAGTGAACTGTTATTACATTAAACTGAAACACGAGGTTAAGAAAACACTTTCTCATGATTTTTTTTCCCTTAGTTTTTTTCAACCTTTAAGCTATAATTTAGGTAATAATATGTCTATGGTAATGCATCATACATTTTAAATTCAAGAACTCCTTTACTCTTTTGATAAGTTAAATAAAATTGAAATTAATACTTTTCTTTTTAAAAAAGCATCTCTCTACAGTATAAAGTCATATTTAATAATACCTGTATAACTGTCTATTCATAATTTTGGAATTGTGTGTACCTAATATAAAAGATGGTTACTTTCTGAGTGGCGTGATGTGGAATGTTATATTAAATGTGTAGTGTGGAGCACTGAAATACTTAAACATGCATCATTTTCACAAAGGAAAAAGTAGAAGCAAAATGCAATAGCTAATGGTAGTAAACTGTAGGTATAAGGATGTTTATTGTTTTTTCTTGTTTCTGTATTTTGATGTACATGTAAAATATCCTTTCATGACATTCAAAATCTTGTTCCTACACTGGAGATACCTGTTTTTATAATACTACTTTTGTGGGTCTCCTTTCAGACCCTTTTATCTATGTATGTCCTAACATACTTACATATGGAGTCTCATTTTTATTTATCTTTATGTAATATTCTCATAACTGTATATTTTGTTCCACTGCTTTTTCTTTTGAATTGCTAAGTTATGAATAGCTTTACATAAAAGATAAAGATCTATCTTATTTAACTCTGTGAAGTATTTTATAATATAGACAATCACAATTTCTTTAGCTATTCTCCCACTTTTTTTGGTTATTTGTTTCCAAATCTTTGCAATTTAATTAGATGCTAAAATAAGCAACTAATTAAAGTGAATATTTTTGGGGTCACAAGTGAATTTTTCTAAGGTAGATGCTGAGAAGTGAAAATGATGGATTGTTAGGAACACAGATTATTTTTGCTATCCAAAATGTCTTTACAAATTTACATTCTCATCAGAATTATACATTTCTAAACAAAGTTCTTCTCCAATTCTAATCCATGTACCAACTCCCTACCTACCTCAACTCACATTTTACAAATCTTACCTTCAGAGTGAATTGATGATCCCAGTAAATGCTTGAGTCAGTCTCTCTTTTTCTTTGAGTGTGTATCATGATTTCATGTGGGATAAATATTAATAAATAATTGAGCCATTATGTGATGAATGTTCTATGGATAAGTAGAGAGGAAAACCAGGGAACAATCAACCCAAGCTTTAGAATGTGTCAATGTCAAAGGAAGTTTGAATTGTCTTAAAAGGTAAGATTATGGTCTCTGAGTATAGCAGGAGGGTGAATGTTCCTGGAAAATACATAAAAATAAAATATTTGAAAAACCAGGGTTATAGTTACAAAAACTTATGTACCAGGCAGGTAACACACTGATGAAATTGGTCAAGGATTAAAAAAAAGAGCATAAGAGAGAAGATAATGTCGTGACCTCATTGTTGGTAGACAATAGTAAAGGCGAGAATAGTGACCAACTGAAGAGCTTAGGCCCCATCTCCAAAGCAAACGGTTACTATGCCCATCTTCACTGCTGTGAGCCTTTGATGATCCAATGTTGTCAGGTATGATTTTTGCAAGAGAAATTAAAATTCTGAATAACTGTGTGGAACTTTTTGATTTTTACATGCAGGTTATTGATTCAAAAATACACATATTTAAATATTGTGAAATTCAAAGAAAAATTTTAGAGTAACAAACTCATTCTGATTTGCCTGGGACTATCCCAGTTTTAAAATTAAAAGTCATGTATCCCAGGCAAACTAGGACAATTGGTCGCCTTCATTATAGGATCACTCCTTCTGTGGCCCATATCTAGCTCAAGGGCTGCCATTTGTAACTTCAGAATAACTCCTCATTTCGAGGAAGTGTAAGGGGTTCCATTTCCACTGTGAAGTTTTAAGGGAAGGTATTGCAGACTAGGGTGGGAGAATTGGTAGAGGTAATGTCATGTGTATGTATTATTTGACATTAAAGAAACAATAACCGTGCTTATGAAGAACTAACTAGTCTGAAAGTTCATTGCAGCTTTGAAGCTTGTTGGTATCTTCCAAAAGCCAAAACTTACTACCTAGTTAATTGGTTTATTGCTGAAATTAAGCGAGAGATAAATTCCTCCACAGTCACATAGAATCCCTGATCCTCTGTACAATGTTACTTTCCAATTATTAAGGATGCTACTACCTTGAAATTCTTCTTCTATGCCTCTATTTCCCCTGCTGCAGAAGATTTCAGCATTCAGATTCAGATTCTCAAGTACCTTCAGCAACCAGCTCTTAGGTTTCTCTGCTCCTCAAAAGATGCAGCAGGAACAATAAGTATTATTTTTGATGAGAGAAAAATTCAGCACTCCTATCTAAGGATTTGAGTTGCACTGATCACCATAGTAACTAGACAAAAATATAATTTGAATAATACATTTGAAAATGATGTGGTACAGAGGCCATGCCTGGGAGGAAGGGAAGAAAGAGGGAGGGAGCAAAAAACACACATCTCAGTCCTTTATAGAATAATGCAAATATTTGAATTAGAAAATGCCAATGTTGAATCATTAAGAGTTCATTTTATAGTGAAAGAAAATGAGATGTAGAGAGGTTATGTGACTTTTCCAAGTTCACCCAGTAACTATAGCTGGGGCGTTAGTTCCTGTCTCCTTAAGGCAATGTATTTTTGTTAAAAAATAACTATTTTCCCCAAAAGGTAAGATAAGCTATTTTACTGGCAAATAGTCTTTTCTTGTTCTCAAAATGGATAATGAGGAATATTGCATATTGCACTGTTTAGTGTTCTTTCAAAAGCCAATGTTGACATAGGGATTTTATTTGGGGGGTGATTCTAAGACATACTAGAGGAAAAAATGGGGAGAAATATTGATTAGTAAGAGGAGGGAGTCAATAGAGGATGCATTGTCAAGTAAAGCACTGTTCGGTGTACAAGGCTTAATCCTTCTGGAGAACTCTTGAAGCCAGAATGATATATGTTTCAGAGTTATTTCACCCAAAGAATGAAAAAGGATATGCATTTGTATATTAGTACTAATTAGTCCTTTATTGAAGGTTATTCCCAGGTGGTACTGACTCTCTAGAGCGGCCAGCATACTGAACATGTAGCAGACCAAGCAGAAGTGATCAAAGAACACTTCAGATAAAGAGAAGCGTGTGATTGTAGTTGGAAGACAGTGGGGTATAGACAGCGTATATGCTAGGCATCACAGACTCTATTACAGTCCACCTCCTAGGCCATGTATCTCAGGGATGTGTTAGGTTTACTTTGTCCTGTCACCGATGAGACAGAATGAGAGAGACAGAGGTAGAACTATAGTTTTTACCGCTGCCATTGTTACTAAAACATCTACTGCTGTACAAGATCTTTCTTTTTTACCAACCATTCTAAAACCCCCTTCAAACTTGCACAGCACTTTGGCTACTCTAGATTGATTAGCCTGTAGCCTAAACCAGACCTGTATCCCTATGAGGTATGGTCTATTTATTATGACCTTGTTAGGTTAAGGTTGTTGTAGTTGCCCATTTGTGGTTATTACTGAGGACAGAAGTAAAAAATATACCCAAGTGAATACCTTAAATTACAGACTTGAATCTTCCTTCTCATTGTGTAGCAGCAACCAGGTCTCCTCATGATAATTAGGAGGATTACCCTTACCAGAATAGAAACTCCTTTCTTTGCCAGCTAATATAATGGCAATAAGAGACCAAATGGCCAGTAACATCTATATTCTTAGGTTTAATAGAACTTTTATTTTGTCTCTCAGCAGAAGCATTCTCACCTTGGAAAAACAGATTTTTTTTTTTAAATTTTTTTTTGAGACAGAGTCTCGCTCTGTTGCGCAGGCTGGAGTGCAGTGGTGCAATCTCGGCTCACCACAACCTCCACCTCCCAGGTTCAAGCGATTCTCCTGCCTCAGCCTCCCATGTAGCTGGGACTACAGGCACACACCACCAGATTTTTAATACAGCAGAACGAAGTCCCCAAGTGTATCACTGGGCATGATGGTGAATCCATTCCTAATTCCACATTCAGGTTTCTCACTCACATGTTTTCCCTACTAGACAAATTACCTCATACAGTGGCTGTTGTTTCAAGGTATAAAACAAGTTTTTAAAGAGCAGCACCTTAACACCTCAGAGAACGATTCCCTCTAGTGCCTTAGATATGCTTTACAAGGTCATTTCTAGATTCTCGTAACTGGTAATGTCTGAGAGATACAGTATATGGGAGTATGAGTAGATTCCCTGGTCATTTGCATTATCTTGCACCTCCTTCACAGTGAAATGGATGTCATAATATTTAGCACGTGATGGACAGCTCCAATAATGTATTCACGTGACATGCTATGGTCAGGTGCTTAACATATACAAGACCAGGTAGCACGGCAGATGTTGCTTTATTCATTCACTTAATTAAGTATAAGTGAATTTATACCACATGAATCTTATATGCACAGCTTGTTGAATTCTTCACATGTAATCACCTAGTTAAATCTAAAACATCAAGATATACCCTATATCCAGAACCCTGGAAAATCCCCTCGTATTCATTTCAAGTCAATATTCCCACAGAGGTGGTCTTGAATTAAACCTTCTAACATGTAGATTATTTTAACCTGTTTCTGAGTATCATGTAAGCACATTGGTATGTTGTACTATTTTTGTTTCTGGCATCTTTTACTAAAGTTTGTGAATGTCATTCATGTTATGTGTATCAATAATTTGTTTGTTATAATTTGTTTTTTTAATGAATATACAATGATTTACTCATTCTGCTGTTAATAGACATTTGTAATATTTCTAGATTCTGGCTATTGTAGATAATGTTATACTCATATTTTGTGGGATTTATGTAGAGTTTCTCTTGGGTATGTTCCTAAGACTGGAACTCAAACACAGGTATATATTTACCTTTTATAAATTACAAAATAGCTTTCCCAAGTAATTGAAGTAATTCACACTCCCAGCAATAATTGAAGGTTCCAGTTGCTATTATTTCTCCTAGCATTGGCACTATGTTCTTTATTTTACTTACCTGATGGTTTGTGGTGTTATCACATTATGCTAATATTTGCATTTCCATGATGAGTAATGACGTTGAGCAAATTTTGATATGGTTATTAGTCATTTGGTTATTCTCTATGTTTTACTTATTTTTTTCTGTTGTTGATATTTGACAATTATTTTTCTATTCTGAATATAGACGAATCAAATTCTGTTGTCAAATATAAGTATTTGACAAGTATTTGGCCTAGAGAATGTTGTACTTTGATAGACAGATGTTCTTAATAGGCTTTATTGAATTTCAGAACTTTCATTTATCTAAGTACATTATTCAGAAATTGAAAAGGCAAAACGTAGACTTTATAGACCATATAGTTGTTCTAGTTACCTATTTCTCTGTCTCTCTCTCTCTCTCTTCCCCTTTCCCCCAATTTTTTCTTGATCAGGATTTATAGTTTTTTTTAAATTACTTTAATCCCTTCAAAGAACTAATCTTTAGCTTTAGCTATTGAATCTCCCTTTAAAATTAATTTTATTATATCTATTATATCTCTTTTATTTATTTCTATTTCAATTTTTTTCTACTTTCTTTGGTTTTAATTTGCATTTCTTTTGCTCCTGTTCATAATTGGAACCTGAGGTCTTCAGTATTCTTTTTTTTAAATTTGAATTTTGACTGTAAATTTCTCTTCTAATTGCCGTTGTAATTTTCCAACATTTTAATATAATTATTTTGAAACATATAGCAATGATCAGAAAATTTTATGGTAAAAAACACTACTCACCCTCTATATTTTACTATTAATATTTCACTATATTTATCTGATAATATTCCTTCCTTCCCCACTCCATCTTTTTTCTTCCCTTTCTTTTTTCCATCCTTCCTCCCTATATATCATCTTTATCCCAATAACTAATAAATCTTATTTTTCATACATTTAAAAACACACTGTAGACATCTGTACCCCTATAAATGTTATGTTACTTATGAAATTAACTAGTATTTAATTTTCAATTTTTTTTCCTTTGATGTAACATTACATAAAGGAAAGTACACAAACCTTCAGTCTATATTTAACTGAGCTTTGGTGAATGCATATAGATATGTAACCCAAATTCCTACCAAATTGTAGAACATTACCACCTGAGTTGTTTCCAGTTTGAGGCTTTTGTAATTAAAGGTAAAATGAAGATTCTTTCACAATTCTTTACAATTATTTCTATGAACATATGTTTCTATTGATTGTAAGTAATCATCTAGGAATCACACAGGAAATATATGTTGAGTCTTATTTTAAAAACGACTAGGAAAATTTTGAAAGTGGTAGTACCATTTTACATTTTCTTTTACAATGTATGAAGATTTAGTTGTTCCACATCCTTGCTGACACTTGGTATTGTCAGATTTTTACATTTTAGTCATTCTGAGGTGGGAGGGGGCATGTAGTGTCAGCTTGTTGTAGCTTTAATTTGTAGTGTCCTAATGACTAATGATATAGACCACATTTTAATGTGCTTATTGGCCATTACATAACTTATTTTATGAAGTGTTTGATTCTTTTGCCCATATAATAGATTGGTATTAATGTAATATTGGCTTGAACTTATTTTATGGATGTTTAAATAATTTTTATATCTTGGACACTAGTCCTTTGTCATACATGCTTTGCAAATATTTTCTCTAAATAATTAGCTTAGCTATTTATTATCTTTAGGTTGTATTTTAATTGTGTGTAACATAATTTTATTTTATAGTTATTTATTTTTGTAACCAGTCTCAAAAGCCTATTATTAAACCTCAAGTCATAGAGATTTTTGTTTGTTTGTTTGTTGTTTTAAATGCTTATGATGTTACCTTTAGGTCTGATGATTTTTTATATCATGTGAAACAGGGATGAGTTTCATGTTTTTTCATGTAGATATATTGCACCATTTCTAAAAATGCTTTTCATTCCATTTCTATTTGGCAACTTTGTAAAAAAGGAAAGTGCTCTATTAAGTGTAGGTCCATTTCTGGACTATATATTCTGTTCTATTTATCTATTATCAATTTATATTCCAGTATTCAGCATATCTTGATTATGGTAGTTGTATATCAAGTGTTGACGTCCTCACACTTTGCTATTTCTCCAAGTTTACTTTACACAATCTGGGCTCTATGTATTTCCTTATACAATTTTGAGTTTGCCAAATTCTATAAAACTTCTGCTAACATCATGATTGGGATTTTTTTGTTTATAGATCAATTTAGGGATAATTAAAACCTTAAAATATTGACTCTTCTAATCCATGAACACAGTCTATCTCTTCATTTATTTAGACCTTTTAAATTTTCAATCAGCAATCTTTTATAGTTTCCTGTGTAAAAACCTATTGAAAACTTTAAATTTATTCTTAAGCTTTTTGTTTTATACACTATCATACATTGAATTTTAGTTTTTTGACTTGCAGTTCCAATCAATCATTAAAGTCAGGAAACAACAGGTGCTGGAGAGGATGTGGAGAAATAGGAACACTTTTACACTGTTGGTGGGACTGTAAACTAGTTCAAGCCTTGTGGAAGTCAGTGTGGCGATTCCTCAGGGATCTAGAACTAGAAATACCATTTGACCCAGCCATCCCATTACTGGGTATATAACCAAAGGACTATAAATCATGCTGCTATAAAGGCACATGTGCACGTATGTTTATTGCGGCACTATTCACAATAGCAAAGACTTGGAACCAACCCAAATGTCCAACAATGATAGACTGGATTAAGAAAATGTGGCACATGTACACCATGGAATACTATGCAGCCATAAAAAATGATGAGTTCATGTCCTTTGTAGGGACATGGATGAAATTGGAAATCATCATTCTCAGTAAACTATCGCAAGAACAAAAAACCAAACACCGCATATTCTCACTCATAGGTGGGAACTGAACAATGAGATCACATGGACACAGGAAGGGGAACATCACACTCTGGGGACTGTTGTGGGGTGGGGGGAGGGGGGAGGGATAGCACTGGGAGATATACCTAATGCTAGATGACGAGTTAGTGGGTGCAGCACAACAGCATGGCACATGTATACATATGTAACTAACCTGCACATTGTGCACATGTACCCTAAAACTTAAAGTATAATAATAATAAATAAAAAAATAAATTTTTAATCATTAACTTATATATTACAAATGCTAAATCAATAGATTTTGTATATTCATTAGTATTATCTATGTAAACACTCAAGTTACCTGCAGGTAGAGAAATATTTATTTTTTCCATTCCAAATTATTATGCTTTTATTCCTTTTTCTTGCTTTATTCTAATGCCTGGGACCTTCAGAATAGAAGTGATAGTGGAGTGCATTCTTGCTATGTTCATAAAGTTATGAAAACAATATTCAGTCTTTCATTATGCGCTATAGGGTAAGCTTTAGAATTTTATTGATTGTCATTGCCAGAATTTTATAGAAATCTGATTATAAAACATGTACTCTTTTTTTGTCTTATTTTTCTACAGAGCATCATTATTTTGAGATTCATCAATGTTGCTGTGTATAATTAATTCATTTATTTATATTTCTCTGTATGTTGCTCATTTCCTTATATTGTTCACTGTGTTGCACAGATATAACAGAACATTTCACCTGTTCACCTCTTGATAGATATTAGTTTACTTCCAGTTTGGGCTACTACAAATAAAGTGGCTATAAATATTGGTGTATTAGTCTTTTTATGGACATATTCTTTAATTTTTCAAGAGTAAATATACAGGTTGAATAGCTTTATTGTATGATAGATGCATGTGTAAGTTTTTAATAATCTTTCAAAGTTGTTCAAGTTATTTATATCATTTTATTTTCCTTCTGGAAATGTATGAGGGATCCAGTTTCATAACGTCATTGACAACACTCGGTATATTAAGTCTTTGATTTTAGCTATCATAATAATTATGTGATAGAAATATGTTATGGTTTTCATTTGCATTTTACTAGTGACTAATGAAATTGTGGCTTTTTCTTGTGTGTGTTTGCTATGCATATAGCATATTTGGCAAAGTGTCTGTTCAAATTTTTGTATTTTTTAATTTAGTTCTCCGTAGTCTTATTATTTATTAAGTTTCGAGTTGTTTGTATAGTCTGATTACAATTTATTTATATAATCGTGTGTACATATATGTTATGTGCAAATATCTTCCCACAGTCTGTGGGCATCTTTATATTCATTCATTCATTCATTCATTCATTCATTTATTGAGACAGAGTTTCACTCTGCTCTTGTTGCCCAGCTGGAGTGCAGTGGTGCAGTCTTGGCTCACTGTAGCCTCTGCCTCCTGGGTTCAAGCAATTCTCCTCCCTCAGCCTCCCAAGTAGCTGAAATAACAGGCACCCACCACCACGCCCAGCTAGTTTTTCGTATTTTTAGTAGAGATGGGATTTCACCATATTGGCCAGGCTGGTCTCAAACTCCTGACCTCAGGTAATCCACCCACCTCAGCCTCCCAAATGCTGGGATGAGGCACCACACCCAGCCAAATTTATTTAACAGTATATTTTATGGAGTTTAATTTTTTAAATTCAGTCTAATAGGTATAGATATAGTGTTATTATGTGCATACAAATTTATAATTGTAATATCTTCTTGTTAGAGTGACCTTTTCTCTCATGAATCTCCCTGTTTTTGGCTTTTAACACATCTTTTTATAAAAACATTTTTTGCCTGAGATTAGTATAATTACACCGTATTTCTTTTTTGTTGACTTTTGATTGGTATCTGATTTTTCCATTCTTTTAATTTCTGTTTTCTTAATTTTTAAGTTTGTTTACTTATACAATGCATAGATGTTTTTCCAGTCTGAAAACCTTTTTCTTAAAGTTCTTATTTCATTCACATGTAAGGTAAAGGATGACATGTTTGTTATTGTGTATGTCATCTTGCTATTTTTAAAATATTTTATTTTGCTATTAATTTGTCACCTTCTTTTGCACTGATCATTAATTTGTAATTTTTATTGTCTTGTATAGTATTTATTCCCTATTTACTAGTTCTGGAGTGGTTTACCTGGAAATTTTTTAAAAGGTCATCTTTAATGTAGTCTATATTTTATATTTTTGCCATGTCCCGATTTTAGAACCTTACCAAGTTACAAATATATTAGCCCTCTTGCATTTTTCTATCATTATGCATTCTACTTATGTTTATTAGACTAAAGATTTTGCTATTGTCATGGCTGTAGATCATTTTATATTTACATTTATATTTTCTAATATGTTAATCTGCTATTGCTCTCTCATTCTTCCAGACTGGAAAGAAAGGAGCATTGATATAAATCCTACAGGCATAAAAAAATTAAAATTTTGTGAAAAAATTATAAAAATTACAATTGTGAAAATATTATGCCAATATTTTAAAAATATTGAGTGTAGCAAACAAAATACTTTAAAAATAGAACTGGCCAAATCTGACAGTAAAATAAATAGAACTTTGAAGATTTTTATATCTGTTAATGAATTGAAGAGTATTATTAAAAAGTAAACTTGCAGCAGAAAAAAACCAAACCCATATGAATTCACTCGTTATTTTTTCCCCAAAATATTTAAGAAAAGGCTGTCATCAATCTTAACAAACACTTCCAAGGAATAAAAAAGGCAGGGCAAGTTCTGTCTTTTTCTGAAGCCAGCATAATTTTGATTCCGAAATCTGACGAGGACATTACAGGAAAGGAAATTACAGACTGTACTGGATGTCCTAACCAATGTCATATGACAAACAAATTAAAGAGAAGTCATATGAATGGGAATAGAGAAAATACAAGTATCATCCTCAAATGATCTTATTTTTGTACCAAGAAATCCAAAAACAAATCTTAAAAAAAAAAGATTGTACTTAATAAGTGAATTAAATGAGGTCCCTGGATTCAAGGTCATTATAGAAACATAGAATGTATTTTATTTAGTATTCTATAAACAAAGAAAAACAAAGAAAAATGATACAAATAAACAATAAAAAGATGCTGATCTTCATTTTGAAATAAAATTTTTATTTTAGAACGCTTTTAGATTTATAAAAAAAAGTGAGGATAACACGGATAGTTCTCATATACCTCTCCCCACCCTCTAGCTTTCTCTATTGTTATTGACAACTTGTTAGTATGGCACATTTGTGTTTTTTTTTTTTGGTGTTGGTTTTTTTTTTGAGACGGAGTCTCTCTCGTCGCCCAGGCTGGAGTGCAGTGGCGCGATCTCGGCTCACTGCAAGCTCTGACTCCCGGGTTCACGCCATTCTCCTGCCTCAGCTTCCCAAGTAGCTGGGACTCCAGGCGCCCTCCACCACGCCCAGCTAATTTTTCGTATTTTTTTAGTAGAGATGGGGTTTCACCATGTTAGCCAGGATGGTCTTTATCTCCCGACTTCATGATCCGCCCGCCTCAGCCTCCCAAAGTGCTGGGATTACAGGTGTGAACCACCTCGCCTGGCCAGCACATTTGTTACAATTAATGAGCAAATATTGAAATAATTTCATTAACTTAAGTTCACACCTTATTAAGATTTACTTTTTTTGATCCACTTTACTTTTTCTGTCGTAGAATCCCACCCAGCATACCTCTTTATACTACATTTGCTTGTCACTTCTTTTTTTTCTCAACTTTTGTCTTTAAACTTTAACTATTTCCTTAGGATGATGCCCAGTCATGGCCTTTGCAGATGCATTACTCATACTTTTAAAAAACTTTTATTTCACTTTCAGGGGTACATGTGCAGGTGTGTTATAGGGGTAGTTTGTGTATTGGTGAGGATTCTAGTGTGCTTATTACCTAAATAATGAACATTGTACACCATAGGTAATTTTTTAAACCCTCATCCCCATCCCACCCTTTTCCCTTTTGGAGTCCTCAGTTGTCTATAATTTCCATCTTTACATCCATGTGTACCCATTGTTTAGCTCCCACTTACAAGTTAGAATATGTGGTATTTGATTTTCTATTTCTGAATTAGGATTCTTTGGGCTGCAACAGTTTCTTGGACTTCTCTTGTTTTTGGGGACTTTGAAAATTTCGAGAAATACTGGTCAGGTATTCTGTAGAATATCTCCTAATTGAGAATTGCATGATACTTTTCTCATATTTAGACTGGGATTATGGGTTTGGGGAATACAAAGAACCTAGAGATAAAATGATACCTTCATCACATTATATCAAAGAGATATATTATTAATATAGCTTATTACTGTTGATGTTGACCTTGATCATCAGGCTGAGGTTTTGCTTGTCAGACGTCTCCACTGTAAGTTTCTCTCCCTTTCTCCTCCCCTCTTTCCATGCTGATTCTTTGGAAGAAGGTCAATATGCACAAACCACACTTAAAGAGTGGGGCGTTGTGCTCCGCCTCTTTGAGAACAGAATATGTATATAAATTATTTGGAATTCTGCATAGGAGATTTGTCTCTTCTCTGTCATTTACTTATTACAAGAGATTTGCTTAATTTTTATGTTTGTGTTAATTTTTTAATTAAAAAATTATTATTATTATTATTTTTTGAGATGGAGTTTTGCTCTTGTTACCCAGGCTGGAGTGCAATGGTGCGATCTCAGCTCACTGCAACCTCTGCCTCCCAGGTTCAAGTGATTCTCCTGCCTCAACCTCCCTAGTAGCTGGAATTACAGGCATGTACCACCACGCCTGGCTAATTTTATTTTTTAGTAGAGATGGGGTTCCTCCATGTTGGTCAGGTTGGTCTTGAATTCCTGACCTCAGGTGATCTGCCTGCCTCAGCCTCCCAAAGTGCTAGGATTATAGGTGTGAGCCACCACGCCTGGCCTAAAAAAATTATTTTTAAGTATGTAGATATTTGGGGGTTACCTGTGATAACTGAATACATTTACCTAATTTGCAAAGATCAAATGATAATAATTGGAATATAGGTCACCTTAAATATTTGTGTTTTCTTTATGCTAGAAACAGTCATATTATTCTCTTTTAGTTATTTTGAAATCTACAATAGATTATTGTAAACTGTTGTCATTCTACTGATATATCAAGTGCTAGGTCTTACTTCTTCTATCAAACTATATACTTTTACCATTAATCAATCTCTCTCCCTTCCTCCTTCCCTTCCCCATGTCTGGTAACTACCCTCCCCACTACTTTTCTTGGCCTCTAGTAACCACCAGTATGCATCTCTGTGAGATCTACCTTTTTAAACTCCTACATATGAGTGAGAACAGGCAACATTTGTCTTTCTGTGCTTGATGTATTTTACTTAATATAATGACCTCCAGTTCCAACTGTGTTGCTGCAAATGACAAGATTTCACTCTTTTTTTATAGCAGAATAATATTAAATTGTGTATATATACAACATTCATCTTATCCATTCATTGACTGCTAGACACTGTGGTTGATTTGTTGTCTTGGCTATTGTAACTAATGCTGCAATAAACATAGGACGCAGATATCCCTTCAATATATTGATTTTATTTCTTTTGAATATATACTCAGTTGTAGAATTGCTGGATTATATGGTAGTCTCATTTTTACTGTTTTGAAGAATCTCCATACTGTTTTCTACAGTGGCTGTACTAATTTTACATTTCCATCAACAGTGTATTGTACAAGTCTTCCCCTTCCTCTGCATCTTCACCAGCATCCTTATCCACTGTCTTCTTGATAAAGGCCATTTTAACTTGGGTGAGATGATATCTCATTGAGGGTTTGATTTGATTTTTTCTGATGATTAGTGATGTTGAGCATTTTTTCATATATCTCTTGACCATTTGACCATTTGTATGTTTTCTTTTTTTTTCATTTTTATTTTATTTTATTTTTATTATACTTTAAGTTTTAGGGTACATGGGCACATTGTGCAGGTTAGTTACATATGTATACATGTGCCATGCTGGTGCGCTGAACCCACTAACTTTTGAGAAACAGCTACTCAAGGCTTTTTTTTTTTTTTTTTTTTTTTGAGACAGAGTCTGGCACTGTTGCCCAGGCTGGAGTGCAGTGGTACAGTCTTGGCTCACTGCAACCTCTGCCTCCTGGGTTCAAGCGATTCTCCTGCCTCAGCCTCCCTAGTAGTTGGGATTACAGGCGTGCACCACCATGCACAGCTAATTTTTCTATTTTTAGTAGAGACTGGGTTTCCTCATGTTGGTCAGGCTGGTCTCAAACTCCTGACCACAGGTGATCCACCTGCCTCGGCCTCCCAAAGTGCTGGGATTACAGGCATGAACCACTGCACCTTGGCCATCTATTCAAGCCTTTTGCCCATTTTTTAAATCAAATTATTTGTGGATTTTTTTTTTTTTTTTTTTTTGCCATTAAGTCGTTTGAGCTCCTTATGTATTCTGGTCAATTCTTTACAATAGATTGCAAATATTTTCTCCCATTCTGTGGGTTGTTGATTGTCTTCACTTTGTTGACTGTTTACTTTACTGTACAGAAGATGTTTAGCTTGACATAATCCTAGTTGTCTATTTTTTGCTTTTGTTGCCTGTGCTTTTGAGATCTTACGCAAAAATATCTATACCCAGACCAATATACGGGAGTATTTCCCCAATGTTTTCTTTTAGTGGTTTTATAATTTCAGGTCTTAGATTTAAGTCTTTAATCCATTTTTATTTGTTTTTTTCTATATGCTAAGAGGCAGAGGCCTTGTTTCATTCTTCCGCATATGGTTATCCAATTTTCCCAGCACCATTTATTGAAGAGATTTCCCTTTCCCTAGTATATGTTCTTACCATCTCTGTCAAAGATGAATTGGCTGTAAATGTGTGGACTTACATCTGGGTTCTCTATATGGTTGCATTGGTCTTTGTGTCTGTTTTTATGCCAGTATCATGCTGATTTGATTACTATTTCTTTGCAATATATTTTGAAGTGAGTTAGTGTGATGCCTCCAGCTTTGTTCTTTTAGCTCAGGATTATTTTGGCCATTCAGGGTCTTTTGTGGTTCCATGTAAATTTTAGGGTATTTTTTCTACTTCTATGAAGAATGTCATTGGTATTTTACTATTCAATTACACTGAATCTTGTAAATTGCTTTGGGTAGTATTGCCATTTTAACAATATTGATTCTTCCAGTCCATAAGCATAGAATATCTTTTCCATTTGTTCGTGTCTTCTTCAATTTCTTTAATGAGTGTTTATAGTTTTCTGTGTATATATCTTTCCCTTTTCTGAGTAGAACATCACGACATCTGTGAACAAGGTTAATTTGATTTATTCCTTTCCAGTTTAGATGTTGTTTATTTCTTTCTCTTGCCTAATGGTCCTGGTCAGGAATTCAACTTTTATGTTAAATAATAGTGGTGAAAGTGGGAATCCTTTTAATATTCCAGATTCTAAGAACTGGGAAAAAAAAAAAGGGTTTCAGTTTTTCCCCATTCAGTACCATGTTTCTTGTTATATATGGTCTTAATTATTTTGAGGTATGTTCCTTCTATAGCCAGTTTGCTAAGTCTTTTTATCATGGACTGATGTTGGATTTTACTGAATGCTGTTTCAGCATCTATTGAAATGATCGTATGGTTTTTGTTTTTGGTTCTGTTAATGTGATGTACCACATTTATTGATTTGCATATGTTGAACCATCTTTGTGTCCTTGGGATGAATCTCACTTGATTATGGTGAATGACTTTTTAAATGTGTTGTTGAATTCAGTTTGCTAGCATTTTGTTAAGGATTTTTGCATTTATGTTCATCAGTGATATTGGTCTGTAGTTTTTTTGTTGTTGTGTTCTGTCTGGTTTTGTGTTAGGGTACATTTGGATTCATAGAATGAGATTGGAAGTATTTTCTGCTCTTCATTTTTTTTTTTTGAAGTGTTTGGCTAGAATTGATATTAGCTTCTTAAATATGTGGTAGAATTCAGCAGCGAAGTCAACAGGTCCTGGGCTTTTCTTTGATGGGAGACTTTTTATTATGGTTGCAATCTCTTTACTCATTGTTGGTTTGTTGATATTTTCTATTTCTTCATGGCTTAAACTTGGTAGGTTGCATATGTCCAATAATTTATCTATTTCTTCTGAATTTTTAAATTTGTTGGTGTAAAGTTGCACATAATAGACTCTAATGATTCTTTGTATTTATATAATCATAGTTGTTGTCTCTCCTTTTTTATTTTTGATTTTATTCATTTAGATCTTCTTCTTTGTCTAGCTAAGATGTGCAGATTTTATCTTTTCTAAAAAACAACTTTTCTTTTGGTTGATTTTCTGTACTTATTTTTAGTCTCAATTTCATATATTTCTGCATTGATTTTTATTATTTCCTTCTGCTAATTTGGGGTTTGGTTTGTTCTTATTTTTCTAGTTTCTTGAAAACCACGTTTCAAGAAACTCTTACGTTGTTTACTTAAGAACTCTACTTTTTTGATATAATCATTAGTATGTGCTTCTTAGCATTTAACAGTATCTCTTAATACTGCTTTGGTTGTAACCCCAAAATTTGGATATGTTGTATTTTCATTTTCATTTGTTTCAAGAAATTTTTAAATTTTCTTTTTAATTTCTTTATTGACCCATTGATTATTCAGGAGTACATGCATCAGTGTAGTTTCTGAGGTTCTTCCTCTTATTGATTTCTAGATTTATTCCAGAAAAGATACTTGATATGACTGCTACTTTTTTGTATTTTTTGAAACTTCTTTTGTGGTCTAAGATATGGTCTATTCTGGAGAATGTTCCAGGTCTGTGCCTGGGCATTGTAGAGTTAGGTATTGTAGTCTTCAAAGTCTGGGCTTGTTTGTGCCTATCCTCCTTGAGAAGGATTTCCAGGGACTTTTGAAGGGACCTGAGCTCCAAGTCCAATATCACTGGGTTTTTACAGACTCATAGAGGTATCACCTTGGTGATCTTGGATAAGATCTGGAATAATTCTCTTTACAAGGCAGAGACTCTTCTTTTCCCTTACTTTCTTCCAAACAGTCTCTCTCTCTCTCTCTCTGTGCTAAGCCACCTGGAACTGGGGGTGTGGTCGTGCAAGCACTCCTGTGGCCACAACTACTGGGACTACACTGGGTCAGACCTGAAGCCAGTACAGCACTGGGTCTTGTTCATTGTAACCGCTACCTGGCTACTACCTATGTTCACTCAAGGCCCTAGGGCTCTACAACCAGCAGGTGGCAAAACCAGCCAGGTTTGTGTCCTTCGCTTCAGGGCAGCAAGTTCTTTCAGGCTCCAGGTGGGTCCAGAGATGCTGTCTGGGAGCCAGAGATCGGAGTGAAAAAATCTTGGAAATGTGCTTAATGTTCTAGTCTACTGTGCCTCAGCTGGCACCCAAACCACAACATGAAGTCCTTCCTGCTCTTCCCTCTCCTGTGCACAGGCAGACGATCCTCTCTCTCCCTGTGGGTCCCATCACCACTGGCCCATGGTGGGTTTCTGCTAGTCTACTGCAGATTTTCACTTAAAGCCCAAGGGCTCTTCAGTCAGCTTGGTTGAATTCTGCCAGGCCTGGAACTCACCCTTCAGGGCAGTGGGCTCCCCTCTGGTCCATGGCAGGTCCAGAAATGCTGACCCAGAGGCTAGGCCTGGAATCGGGGACCCAAGAGCCTGCTTGTTGCTCTACCCTGTTCTGGATGTGCTAGAACCAAAGGTGCAAGACAAAGTCCCCTTTACTTTCTTGTCTGCTTTTCTTAAACAGAAGGAGTCTTTTACTGTAGCCACCGCAGCTAGGAATGTGCTGGGCCACACAGATAGTCAGCACATCTCAGAGCCCCAGGCCCACGGCATACCACCTGAACATCACTGCTGGTTATTCAGGGCCCAAGGGCTCTTTAGTCAGCAGGTGATAAATCCTGTCAGGACTGGTTTCCTCCTTCAAGGCAGTGGGTTCCCCTTCAGGCCAGGGTGTTTCTAGAAATGTCTGGGAGCTAGAGCCTGGAAAGGGGGCCTCATAACTTTGGCGCCCTATCCTACTGTGGCTGAGCTGATTTCCAAGATGCAAGAGAAAGTCCTCTTTATTCTTTGCTCTCCACCACTTACGCAGAAGGTAAGAGACATTTTCCAGACCGCAAGCTGCACTCTCTGGGTTTGGGGGAGGCACGATGCAAGCACTTCTTTAGCTGCCCTGGCTTGTGTCTACCTAGCTCATGTGCCACCTTAGTCCTCTGGCTCTGAGGATCTGCAGTCTTTATGTGTTCTAGACTGCCTTTCAAGTTTACCTGGGACTTCAGAGCACTTTGGCCTGTGGTGCCGAGGCTTGCTGAGAAGCTATAGTTATAACTGATAGGATGGGTGATTCCCCTCTGGATAGGTCTGATCCAAATGCTCCCTGTCTGTACCGGCACTGACTGAGCCCAGCACAGCTTTGCTCTCTGCTGTGACAGGGCAGCACTGAATTCAATGTAATGTCCCCCAGTCACTGTGATCTCCCTCCTCCAAGTGCACAGATTCTCTCTGGCTGCTGGGAGGTGGGGGCAGAGACTGTGTTGTTCAGGGAAAGAGTGGCATCTGCTATCCAAGACTGTCTCTGACCCTCCTCAATGTATCTCTCAAGGAGATGAAGTCAAAACCAGGTATTGTGATTGCTCATCTGATTTTTGCTTCTTGTGATGGTGCTTTCCTGTGTGCAGATATTTGTTAAAATTTGACATTCCTTCGTGGGTAAGAACACTGTAGGCTTCTATTCCACCATCTGGCTTCACTCTCAAGATGGTCTTTTGTATAATTAGGCTATACAAGTTAGATATCCCTATCGGAGAAAAGTGAATCTGAATTTCTACCTCATATCATGTATAAATATAATTGCCAGATGATTGGTTGTAGACCTGAATCAGAAAGACAAATGAAACCGTTAAAGGAAAGTAAAGGAGAAAAACTTCATTACCTTGGAGTTGACTAGATTTTCTTGTAGAGTGACAAGCAAAGCACTACATTAAGAAATGAAAGAAGTAATACATTTTGCTATATTAAAATTCAGAACTTTGGCTAATTAAAACACATATTGGAGATGGAAATGCAAGGAGTAAGAAGATATTTGTGGTACATTGGACAGAGTAATCATGTTTATTGTTAACCCCTAAAATTCAATAATAAAAATGGAGAAATATTTCAGTAGAAAAGTGGACACAAAAGATGTTTACACACTTGACAAAATAGGATATTCAAATGGCCAGTGAAATTGAAAAGTGCTCAACTTCATTTATCATGGAGAAATCCAAATTAAAATTATAAGATAGCATTACAAAACCATTAGAAACAGTAAATTATTAAAGATGGGAAATATAAAGTTCTAATCAGAATATTAAAACTCTCATATTATAATAGTGAGAGAAAGGGTAATTTGGTACAACTATTTTGAAAATTGGCACTACTATTCAAGCTGGACATATTTACACCCTCTGAACTAACAAGACAACTCTTAGTTCTCTATCTAAGAGAAATATGTACAAACATTTTAAAAAGGACATTGACTAGAAGGTTTTTTAATAAGCAAAACTGGAAGCTATATAAATTCTAACCAACAGTAGAATGGATAAAAAAAATTGTGTTCTAGTCACACAATGGAATACACTATGGCAATGAGAATATAAAATTCATGAATGATCTTACAATAGGGACAAATCGTATCTTACAAACACAATGTTGAGTGAAAGAAACCAGACACAAAAAGTAATAGAATTCCACTTGCATAAAGTACAAAGCAGGCACTACTAATGTATACTGTTAGAAGTCAGAGTGGTGCATTTCCTTGGGGGATAGTGACTAGAAGACAGCATGAGCAGAACTTCTGGGTATTACTAATGTTCTATATTTTGTCTGGATGGGTTTAGTTTATAAAAATTCACTAAACTGTATATTTACGAATGGTGCTCTGTCCTTCAATCATATTATATATCAAAATTAAAAAACACACATGCACAAACTATCATTTTGGGTTGAGCTGACCTCACAGTTGTGTACTTCTCTGGCATAGGTACTCTGGATTCTTCCTACATTAAATCCAACAGATGCTCCCTTTCCCAGTACAACTAGCTGTCCTCTAAGGAGCTAGTGCCTGCTTTTCTGTACCACGGCTTTCAGTTTTCTTCTCTGCCTCTCGTGTACCTCATTTCCTAGTTCTGCAAATATTGAAAGAAGGTGCATTCTCTTTACTTCCTATTATTTTGTTTCTTACCCACATATCACTCCATTCTCATCTTTTCTGTGTTGTTCATCTCTACCTGGAGATATAAGATTTTGCACATAGCAGGTATCCAGACATAGCCCTAATGAAGCCATGATGTTTATAGCGAATCCCAGAGCCAAAAGAATTTTCCTATGGGCAGAGAACTAATTTATCCACCACAGGATCTTTCGGACAGGACTTCTTTGAAGGTGCAGGATGGTAGATACTTGCAACACCTGGTTTTACATCCCACTTGTAGTCTGGTGGTTATCCTTCTCTTGAGTCAAAGTTCACTTGAATTTGAGAGTGGGTGTGGTTCCAACTCACCCTCTCTACAGATCTTCTGAGTCCTTCTCAATGCCTCTTCTCTAATCTCTCTAGGATTCATTTGGTGACAGATGAAAAATGTTCAATACTCTTCCCCAGGAAGACATTTCCTCACATTGTGAAATATGCATTTAACTTGTGTTGCCTCTGGTAACACAATTCATCTTACCCAAACCATTATTAATAATACAATGTTTAACCCCCAAATGCTTTGGATGACACTGATGTGACTGAATGTTATTTAAAAGCATGCTTCTAAAATGCCATCAATTATGCTTCCTTGGTTATTTTAATTTTCTTTTATTGCATCTTGGCAATGCATAATAAGCCTATATTGAAAAAACGAGACATTATACAGCATGAATTAATTAAACAATTTTAACAGATCCTGTGGCAGTGCTTTTAGAGCTAACAATGGCAAACTCAGATAAATTTTGAAAAAAAATTACCTGTTTTTTTCTCCCAAACACAACAGAAATTATAAATATGTTGGAAATAATTTTTTCCCTTTTATTTTTTATGTATTTTTTTAAGTTCTTCTAAAAAGAGCAACTCTTGTTCTAGGCAAGAGAAAAGACAGGAACTGATTACCTTTTACTGGTGGATCAGGTTATTCTAGAACAGAGAAGCTGTTCAAGTGTCTGCTACACTAAGTGTCACTTATACATGTGATTTATTTCTTGGCTGATGTTCTTTTATTTTTTGGCAGGAGAAGAGAATAAGTGAATGGTGTTTTCAGTCCACTCTTGACTTCACATTGTGACATATGCATTTTATTTTTAAATCTGCATAGTCTTTCTTCAAATGTCATCTCGAGTTATGTATTATTTCCTGGAGTTTGTGAGTCTCCATCTAGCCTGATGTAGCAACAGATTGGGATGCATTTGCATAGTAGTGTAGTTACTTGCACTCTGGAATCAAACAACTATTTTAACTTTCAGTTTTGTTATTTACTAGCTGTGTGACCTCAGGCAATTTACTTTGTTTTTCTGAACTTTAATTTCTTAATCTGCAGAAGAGCCAATGGTGTAACTCTCAGTCCAAGGTCAAAAGCCGCAGCATTTGGAGGGCTGTTGTGCAAGTCTTGAGGTCTGAAGGCTGAAGAATCTGGAGATCTGATGTCCAAAAGCAGAAGATGGGTGTCTCAGCTCCAGAAGAGACAGCATGTATGAATTTACATTTCCTCTGCTTTTTTTGATCTTACCAGGCCCTCCACCAATTGGATGGTGCCTGCCCACATTGGGTGAGGGGAGATCGTCCTTAGTCTACTGATTTAAATGCCAGTCTGAACATCACAAACATACCCCAAAATAATGATTTACTAGATATCTCGGTATCCTTTAATCTAGTGAAGTTGACACTTGAAATTAACCATCAGGACCATCCTAAGGCTATTTTTAAGTTAGTGTGTGACAATTACTTACTTATGACTGTCTCTTTCTTATTTATTCTTGTAATCCAGATGCCCAGAGGGCCTCATGGTCACCAAATATCCAGGTTAAACTAATTTAAAACAAATTGAAACTAATTTAAAAATTAATCTGGGCCGGGCACGGTGGCTCACACTACAATCCCAGCACTTTGGGAGGTTGAGGTGGGTGGATCACTTGAGGTCAGGAGTTCAAGACCAGCCTGGCCAACATGGTGAAACCCTATCTCTACTAAAAATACAAAAAAATTAGCTGGGCGTTGTGGCGTGTGCCTGTAATCCCAGCTATTCAGGAGGCTGAGACAGGAGAGTTGCTTGAACCTGGGAGGTGGAGGTTGCAGTGAACTGAGATCGCACCACTGCACTCCAGCCTGAGCAGCAGAGCGAAACTCCATCTCAAAAAAAAAAAATTAATTTAGTTCTACCACCACCATCAGTTAGATAATATATGAGGCATTTTTCAAGATTTTAGCAAAGCGCCATGTGACTTCTGACTCAGCGTTACTTCTGATTCTGCATTCTGAATCACTACATTGCTGCTTCTCTGTGTGTACCCTCTCCCTAACAATTATCAACTTGAATGAATCCCAGTGCTTTCTTGTAACCCTAGTAGATCTTTCAGAGGATTTTTAGATTTCCTGAGGAGATCTGACAGGGACAGAGTTGACATTATGGCTTGCAAAGCATTCTGCTACCTTTTGGGCTGTGCTGTCCTCTGCTTATCAATTTGCTTTCTTTCCACTTTGTTATGGATTATTCCCAAGAATTCAAAATTTTTCTCTGCTTATAATGCAATTCATCTTCTTTCTGATTCTTGATACTTTGGCACCCACTATTCCCTTCTATCCAACACAATGATCAAGATATTCCTTTACAAATAAAAGAGAGCTTTTTCCCTGAGAGAATTTCAAGCATCAGCTGTTATGATAATCCAATTTTTCTTTTTGAAAACCTAAATCAGGAAAACTACAAAATACATCCCTATAGATTAAAATGTAAACTTGAAAAATGAAAAGGCACTGACTTTGTGTTGCTTAGCACTCTCAAAGTCATCAAAAGTTTAGTTCTCCCCAAGCAATTTATAAATTTTGAGTGATTCCAAAGGAAATACCAACAAAGGTTTTATGGAGCTGGAAAAGTTGGTTTTAAAATCTGTATGGAAAAATAAACACATAAAAATAGGGAAATACTGAAAAGGAAGAACTGTGAAAGGAATTAGCTCTATCAGACTCGAAAACATTACAAAGCTTCTGTATGAAAACTGCGTTACTCACAAATGAATAGGCAGGCAGTGAAATACAGTGAAATAGAACAGAAATTCAAGTAGACACAACAACCTATGGAAATCTATGTAATAAATGTGGTATCTCTAATTAATAAATCAAAGATAGACTTTAAAGTGAATAATTACAAAACTATTGAAAAATTCACAGTATTAGATCTAATCATCACACCATACACAAATACAAAAATTAACTATACAATTCTAATCCAATTCCTCTATAACCCGAAAATAAGGAAAAGCTCTGTAAGTATGACTCAAAAATCTAGAGTTCATAAAAGTAAAGACTGATAAATTTGACTATAAATAATTAAAAGAAAAATAACTTTTTCATGGTACAAGCCTTATAAGCAAAAATTAAGAGAAAAAATTAGAAAAATACTTGTAACGTATGTCATAGACAAAGGTTGATATCCTTAACATAAAAATAACTTACAAAAATTGAGAAAGGTACTAAACATTCCATGGAAAACTAGGCAATAGATGCAAAAAGTAAGCTGTAGATGTGAACAGAGAATTCACCAGGGAGATATTAAAATGGACCTTAAATTTACGAGATATTCAAATGCAAATTAAAGCTAAATTAAGATACCATTTCTCACCCACCACATTGGCAACAATTTGAAAGTAAGTGCAGCTTGGGGAAGGAAATTTGGCACTATCTAACAAAACTATGTGTGAATTTGTGTTTTGTCCCAGAAATTACTCTTCTAGGAATTCACTCTGAAGATACACTCTCAACGATACAAAATCTGTATGCAAACATTTTAGCATTATTTTAATTGCCAAATATTGGATGCCTAAATATCTAGACAGAGAAGACAAGCTGAATAAACTATGTTGTATTTATGAGGCTTCAACAGAGAATAAAGAAAATACGAACTAAAATGATGTGATTTCCAGTATGAAGAAATCTGAACACAGGAAAGGATATATACTGTGTACGAAACTTGTGGAGAGAAGAATATCGCATCTCTTTACAAAGTGAAATAGAGGGAGGATAATGCGATAAACAATGAAGCTAATAGTTACAAGGACTTCAGGAAATGAGAAAAAATAGAGAAAGGACTTCAGGAAATAAGAAAAAATAGAGAAAGGAGTGACATTATATAATATAAAATGGATACATTTATACAAAGAGATATTGTAGTTATCTATTTTGAGTTATGGAAATACAAAAAATTAAATCCACAAAGGAGAAAGAGCTAAAATTAAAATTATACACAAACCAGGATATTTATGATTGTACCTCTGTCTATTCTGATATATTATAATTTGATACATATAAAGCTCACAATATTTTATTTCTTTTTTCTTGTTCTTTTATTTTAGATTCGAGGATACACGTGCTTGTTTGTTACATGTGTTTATTGCATACTGGTGGGGATGAGGCTTCTAGCGTACCGGATATCCAAGTAGTGAACATTGTACCTATAGGTAATTTTTGAATCCTTGCCCTCCCCAGTGTCCCCAGTGTCTATTATTTCCGTCTTCATGACCATATGTACCCATCGTTTAGCTCCCACTTATAAGAGAAGATGCAGTATTTGGTTTTCTGTTTCTGGGTTAATTTACTTAGGATAATGGCCTCCAGTTCCATCGATGTTGCTGCATAAAACATAATTTCATTCATTTTTATGGCTGCATAATATTCCATGGTATATATGTACCACATTTTCTTTACCTAGTCAACTGTGGATAGACACATAGGTTGGTTCCATGAATTTGCTCTTGAGAATAGTGATGCCCATGGTGAAAAACATCCAAGTGCAGGTGTCTTTTTAATATAATAATTTGTTTTCCTTTGAGTGGACATCCATTAGTGGGATTGCTGGGTCGAATTATCGTTCTATTTTAAGTTATTTGAGAAATCTCCACACTGTTCTCTATAGAGAATGAACTAATTTACATTCCCATCAACAATGAATAAATATTCCCTTTTCTCCACATCCATGCCAACATCTGTTATTTGTTGACTTTTTAATAGCCATTCTGACTGGTGTAAGATGATCTCTCATTGCAGTTTTAATTTTCATTTCTCTGATGATTAGTGATTTTGAGCATTTTTTTTCTCATTACAGCATTTGTTGGCTGCTTGTATTTCTTCTTTTGAGAAATGTCTGTTCATGTCCTTTGCCCAGCTTTTAATAGGGTAGTTTATTTTTTGTTTTGTTTTTATGTCTTATTGAGTTCCTTATACATTCTGGATATCAGTCCTTTGTCAGAGGCATAATTTGTAAATATTTTCTCCCATTCTGTAGTTTCTTTGTTTACTCTGTTGCTTATTTCTTTTGCTGTGAAGAAACTTTTTAGTTTAATTAAATATCATTTGTCTATTTTTGTTGCATTTGCTTTTGGGCCCTTCATCATAAATTCTTTGCATAGGCCATTGTCTGAAAGAGATTTTCCTAGGTTTTCTTCTAGGATTTTTATAGTTTCAGGTCTTATGTTTAAGTCTTTAAATGATCTTGATTTAATTAATTTATTTATATGGTTAGATATAGAGGGTCCAGTTTCATTCTTCTGCATATGGCTAACTGATTTTCCCAGCCCAATTTATTGAATAGGGTGTCCTTTCCCCAGTATTTATTTGTGTTGACTTTGTCAAAGATGAGTTGGTTGAGACACATGGCTTTATATCTGGGTTCTCTATTCTGTTCCATTAATCTATGTGCCAATTTTTGTACCAGTACCATGCTGGGTTTTTGTTTTTTGTTTGTTTGTTTTTTGTTTTTTGTTTTTTTTTTTTTTGAGACAGAGTCTCACTCTGTTGCCCAGGCTGGAGTGCAGGGGCATGATCTCGGCTCACTGCAAGCTCCGCCTCCTGGGTTCACGCCATTCTCCCGCCTCAGCTTCCCCAGTAGCTGGGACTACAGGCGCCCGCCACCACGCCTGGCTGATTTTGTTTTTCTTTGTATTTTTAGTAGAGATGGGGTTTCACTGTGTTAGCTAGGATGGTCTCGATCTCCTGACCTCGTGATCCACCCACCTTGGCCTCCCAAAGTGCTGGGTGAGCCACCATGCCCAGGCTGCTGTTTTAGTTACTGTAGCTTTATACTAATAATATAATTTGAAGTCAGGCAATGTGATGTGTCTGGATTTGTTCTTTTGTTTAGGATTGCTTTGCCTATTCAGGGTCTTGTTTTGTTCCATTTGAACTTTAGGATCTCTTTTTCTAATTCTGTGGAAAATGATGTTGCTAATTTTATATGGATTGCACTGAATCTGTAGATTGCTTTGGGGGATCATTTAAGCGATATTGATTCTTCCAATCCATGAGTGTGAGATGTTTTCCCATTTGTTCGTGTCTTTCATGAGCGTTTGGTAGTTCTCCCTGTAGAGATCTTTCACCTGCTTGGCCAGATGTATTCCCAGGTATTTTATTTTTTAAATGTTGCTATTGTAAAAGGGATTGAGTTCTTCATTTGGTTCTTAGCTTGAATATTATTATTGGTGTGTAGAAATGCTGCTGAGTTTTGTACATTGTCTACAGCTATACCACCCTGAATGCACCTGATCTATTAGATTTTTCTTTAACTTTTAAGTTCAGCAGTACATGTGCATGTTTGTTTTATAGGTAAACTTATGTCATGGGGTTTTTTTGTACAGATTATTTCATCACCCAGGTATTAAACCTAGTACCCATTAGTTGCTTTTTGCGATCCAAAGCTGAAACTGTATCAGTCTAGACTAAAAAGCACAGAGACAGCTCTGAAGGAAAAGGGACCTCTGAATATCCAGTCTTCTACAGCAAGGAACAAGGCCACTCAGCTGCAAACACAAGCCATGTTTCTTAGAAAAGGAAAAGTAACTTTGAGGGGGAAGAAAAGAACCCAGAGTCTGGATAAAAAGACACAGGCGCCCATTGTGTGTGTGTCTGTACACCCATATTGGGAAGTGGGGGAAAAATAACTTTTCTGTGTTTTCTTCTGACATTTTGATTGTTTGTTTGCTTTGCCTTCTTCCTGGCACAGTCATATTCTTACCTAATATCAACGGAAATGATAGAAATAGCCATTGCTCTGTGTCACTAAAACACCGTACTATTTAATCCTTCAGCCTTAAAATTTTGCCAGTAATTATTCTTGAAAAAATCCAATGGATTCCATAAAATTATATCAAATTTCTATACATTTTCAACAACAAAACAGTAAATTTTTCTTTTAAAAGTTAGTTCAGAAATATGTTAATTCTGTAATTATGTGAATTAGAATATTGGAAATTTTTTTTTCTACTAAATTGAAAAATGTTTAAAAAATTTTTTTTTAAATCATTAGGCCTTCCAGTCCATGGACATGAGATGTGTTTACATTTATTTATATCTTCTTTAGTAATGTTTTATAGTTTGTATTGTACAAAACGTTAACATCCTTGGTTAAGTTAATCCCTGTGTTATATTCCTTTTGCTGCTATTGTAAATGGAATTGCTTTTATAAATTCCTTTGCAGATTTAGTCTATAGACATACAAATAATTTTTTGTGTGCTGGCTTTGTATCCTGTTATTTTGTTGAATTCATGTATTAGTTCTAACAGTTTTGTTGGTGGAATATTTAAGGTTTTATATATATAAGATCATATCATCTGTAAACAGAGATAATTTTACTTCTTTCTTTCCAACAGGGATGTCCTTTATTTCTTTTTCTTTATGAATTGCTCTGGCTAGGATATTGAAAAAAGGTGGTGCAATCAGGCATCATTGCCTTGCACCTGATCTTAGAGAAAATGCTTTCAGTCTTCCACCATTGAGTTTAATATCTGCTGTGGTTTTTATATATGACTTTTATTATTTTGAGGTAATTTCCTCCTATTCCTGGTTTGCTGAAGGTTTTTGTGATAAACATGTATTAAATTTTATCAAATGCTTTTTCTGTATCAATTAGATAATCATGTTTTATTTCTCTTCGATTTTTTAATATCAGAGTAAAAAGGCAACCCACAGAATGAGAGAAAATACTTGCAAATTATATACTTGAGAATGAATTAATATCTAGAATACAGAGAATTTCTAAAACTAACCACAACAACAAAATGATTGAAAAATGGGCAGACTTTAATAGACATTTCTCCAAAGACGATATACAAATGACTGATAAACACATGAAAAGACGTTCAATATCACTAATTCTTAGAGAAATGCAAATCAAAACCAAAATCAGATACCATCTCATACCCATTAGGATGGGTATTATATTGAAAGAGAAAAAAAACCCAGAAAATGACAAGTGTTGGTAAGGATGTGGCATAGAGTAACTGGAACTTCTGTGCACTGTTGGTAGAATGTAAAATGGCACAGCTACTGTGAAAAACAGTATGGCAGATCCTCAAATAATTAAAAATAAAATTAGGATATGATCTAGTAATCCACCTTTGGGTATATACACAAAATAATTGAAAATAGACTCTTGAAGAAATATTTGTGCATCCATGTTCATAGGAGCATTATTCACAATAGCAACAACGTGAAAGAAACCCAAGTTTTTGTTTTGTTTTGTTTTTGTTTTTTTTTGGAACGGAGTCTCACTGTCGCCCAGGCTGGAGTGCAGTGGCGCGATCTCGGCTCACTGCGAGCTCCGCCTCCCAGGTTCACGCCATTCTCCTGCCTCAGCCTCCCGAGTAGCTGGGACTACAGGCGCCCGCCACCTCGCCCAGCTAATTTAGTAGAGACGGGGTTTCACCATGTTAGCCAGGATGGTCTCGAGCTCCTGACCTCGTGATCCGCCCGCCTCGGCCTCCCAAAGTGCTGGGATTACAGGCGTGAGCTACCGCGCCTGGCCAAGAAACCCATGTTTATCAGTGCATGAATGGATAAACAAGATATGGTGTATGCATACAATGAAATACCATTTAGTCTGAAAAGGAAGGGAATTGTGACTCATGCTACAAAATAAATGAACCTTGAAAACATTATGCTAAGTAAAATAAGCCAGTCACAATAATGCAAATACTGTTTGGAGCCACTTATATGAGGTACTTGGATAGTCAAAATCGGAGAGATAGAAAGTAAATGGTGGGTTCCTAGTGCTGGAGTTAGGAGGAAAGGAGGAATAATTGTTTAATGGGTACAGAGTTTCAGTTTTACGAGATGAAGTGTTCTAGAGCTAGATGGTGGTTATGGTTGCACGATGTTCTAAATGTGATACAACTGAACTGTACATTTAAAGTGGTTAAGATGGCAAATTATATTTTGTGTGTATTTTACTGCAATTATGAAAAATTGAGAAAAAATAATTAGGATGGGGCATTCTCTTTCTTTTCCTCATACATGTAAATATTATCTTCTAGACGCTTAATAATATGACCCAATGTGTATTTCATATACATTACCTTAATAATTTTACACATATCATTTTATTTAGTTTACAAAACTTTATTATTAGGTATTATTAACTCAAATTTACAGGTTGTGATTATACGTCTCCAAGGTCCATTTATCTGTATGGAATCACTGGTCTATGGACAAAGTTGAGATTTGATTGTCTAATTGACCGGAAGATTCATTCTCACAGGAGAGGCAGGAATGCTTTGGAACATTTGCCAGGTTCCCATCCCTAAAATTCAACATCATTAGAGCCCCTGCTCCATCTTAGTGTATGGGAGCCATAAAATCAAACGTTCCCTTCGATGGTAGCTCACATAATGGCAGAGTGTGAAAAAACAAAGAAATTGGCTCAGGCTTACCACCCAATGCTAGTTGACCTTTGTAGTGGTTGTAATGATTATAAATAGTCTCTAAGGTTTTGCCTCTCAGATTTATAGAAATAGGAGACTGTTCATTATTCCATGGTATATATGTGCCTTTTCTCTCCCCTTCCTTTCCTTTATGTGACTTTAAGAAGACCATTTTAAAAAAGAAAATAAAATATGCATTTATTTGAAATCTATGAGTGTCTCTGTTTCATTAGAGTTAATTGTAGATTTAATCAGCAACTATTGGGTTGAAATAGGATGCCGTAGTTCTCACAGGATTTTCTGAGCCCCTGATTCTACCTACCCAAGTCCTTTAACATAGTGCTAAACAAGGGTCTGTGTTTAATACTTTTTGGTTCTTCTTTCACTTTATCCTAATCTCTGAGTTTCTACTAGAATTCACTTCTGCCTTTATATTCTCAAAATAAACACTCATGTCTATCCATTGCCATCCTAGTTTTCCATCAACCCATGGTCTAAAAACTTGAGTTATCTGTGGGGAAGCAGACACTGAATTTTACTGCATTATTCAACTCTACTGTCATATATAGGGAGAGGGGGCAGGTGACATGGATACATAAATTATAAAGGCAGATTCAAGTTGTGCAGAGATGGAAATAGTGGTCCTGTTTTCTGATTCCCAACCAAAGAAGCTGTTAGAAAACAGTCTCCCAAGAATGCCTGGAAAACTAAGTTTACTTTATCATGCAACAGCACATAAAATAATAAAGCGTTGGGATGTCTCCTGGGAATTTTACTGAGATAACATAGCAGTATTTTATAATCGTAGCTACTTTAAAGATTGTACAGAAACTACTTTTAAATTGTATTCTGAACTACTAGAAGTATCTTCAAACTTTCAGGATTTTTTTCCATGTATGAATTATCATTGTAGATTGCTGTGGAGAGGTTTCAAGGATAGGAGAGACTCAGTTATTTTTTCTGAGGATAAGTTGAATTTTAACATCTAATTTTCAATAACGTGCTCTACAAAAAAATTCATTAGCATTTCTGGGAGAGAATTAGCTAATTAAAGATTCTAATGTCTATGATCAATTCAAATTCATTCCGAGGAACACTCCACAGCTCCTCTCAATATTAAACATCGTTGCTAAACGTTTGAACACATTACAACTCCATAAAATACCATGCTCTACACAAACATAGTACTTAAAAATCTAGGGGTATTCAAACTGTAAGTAACAATACATACCACCACTAATGAAAATAACAATGGCCTCAACTATAATGGCATTTATAGTTAAATTGGAAAGTTGAACACTTGTAGGTATATTATAGTTTTTACAACAATGTCATAAAGAACCTAAATTCTTTCTACTCTTACGTTGTCTCTAAGCTGGTGATTTGACTCTTACACTTGCAACATCATGCCTTCCTCCAGGAAACAATTTTTCACATAATAAAAGTCCAAAATAGGAAAATGAAGGCAGAAAGAAAATATGGTTTTCCCTATGACTGTCATTTTATCATGGAGTATTTTCTAGAAGCCCTCAGATCAGATAGATCTATATATTTTATTGATCAGATCTATGTCATATAGACTCCTCTAACTTCAAAGAAGAGTGATACAATACCTGTTTGTTTTTTCAGCCCTTTATCAATATCCAGCACACAAAAAGTAAAATTCACGAAGTATGACATCTAATTTAAAAATTATCAGGCATGAAAAGAACCAGTAAAAAAGACCCATAATAATCAGAAAATTAATCAATAGGAACACATAAAGAAATAATGAAAAAAATTATAGACTTGGTAGACGATGGCATTGCAACAGCTATTATAACTATTATTACTGCTATTATAAGAATACTTCTTATTTTTAAGAAGCTATAGTAAAAGTTGTACCTCTTAAGTAAAAGCAGAGACGAATTTTTTTTTAAATCTAGAATCTCTAGAGAAGAAAACTACATTTTGAGATTAAAAAATATAATTGAGGGGATTTAAGGTAAAGTATGATTAGTAAACTGAATGCCATAACAATGGAAACTATCTAAAGTAAAACGCACTGAGGAATATAAAGATTGAAAAATGTTGAGGTCGTTAGTGAGCTTTAAGATAACATCAAGCAGCTCGACATACATGTCATTGAAATCTCTAAGAATAAATGAACAGAAGGGGATGAACAAGCAGAAAATGTTTGAAGAAACAATAGATGAAAAATTTCCAAATTTGATGAAAACTATCATTCGAAAAATCCACAAAGCTCAATATAACCAAAGTACAGGAAATACAAAGAAACCTACACAAAGTCCCCTCATTGAAATTTCTCAAAACCAATATGATGAGAAAACCTTAAAATCAGCCAGTGGAAAAAAAAAATACATGCAAAGGAACTAAGAAAAAAATCAGAACCAACTTCTCCTTGGAAACAATGCATCCCAGGAGATAGCAGAGCAACATTTTTAAGTACTGAAAAAAATCTGTTAAAATAGCATTCTATAAATAGTAGAAATATATTTCAGTAATGATGGGGGAAAAGTTTTGATACATCCAACCTGAAAGAATTCATGAACAGGAAATATTACAGAAAATATATCAGGCAGAAGAAAAACTCTATCAGATGGAAATTTGGATCAATATAAAATACTCATAATAGCAAAGATTGATTAAAAATATTATTTGAACAGCCTTTTATCTATTAAAGAAGTTGAATTTATAGTTTAAAAATTTCTCAGAAGATTCTGGGCCATATGGCTTCACTGGTGAATACTATCAAACATTTAGGGAAGACTAATATAAGTTCTATTTTTAAAATTCCTGATAAAAAGAGAGGAGATACTACTCCCGATATTATTCAATGAGGCAAGCAATAAGCATTATTTTGATACTAAGACAACATTAGAAGACAATAAGTTTTTAAAGTCCCTCATGAACAGAGATAAAAAACATTCTTAACAAAATATTAGCAAATAGAATCTAACAATATTTATTTAAAAATGGTAACACCATAATCAAGTGTAGTTTATCTCAGGAATTCAATGCTGTCTTGAAATAAAAACGAACAAACAAAACCAATGTAATATACTATTTTAATTTTTTTAAAAAATCAATCAAGGCTGAAAATTATCTAACAAAATCAAATATCTAATTTTAATCTGTGTAAAAACTCTGAGTTCTAAGTAGGAATAGAAAGGAAGTTTCTTAACCTGGTAATGAACATCTTTGACCAAGCTCTTATGAGACTTCATGGTGAAAGACGTAATGCTCTCTTTACTTTTATTACTGGAATTTCCAGCTAGTACAATAAAATAATAAAATGAAAGAAGGCAACAGAAGTCCAGATTGCAAATTAAGAATTAAAACTGACTTTATTGGCTGTGCATGGTGGCTCATGCCTGTAATCCAGCACTTTGTAATCACAGCCTAGGTGGGATTATCACTTGAGGTGAGTAGTTCAAGACCAGTCTGGGCAACATGGCAGGAGGTCGTCTCTACAAAAAGACAAAAAAATTAGCTGGGCATGATGGCATGTGCCTGTAGTCCCAGCTACTCAGGAGGCTGGGGCAGGAGGATTGCCTGAGCCCTAAAGGTCGAGGCTGTAGTGACCCATGATTGCACCACTGCATTCCACCCTGGGTAGCAGAGTGAGACTTTATCTCTAAATAAAAAAAGTAAAAAATAAAATAAAATAAAATAAAATAAAATTGGCTCTATTAACAGGACATATGATTGCCTATGTCGAAAAATTTATTAAATTTAAAAAAGGCCTACTATAACTAAAAGGAGAGTTTAGTAGATGGTTGAATATGAAATTAGTATACCAAAAGAAACCAAATGTGTTTCATATAATAAAAAATAAAAGTTTATAATTAAAAATATCATTTACAATGTCTCAAAATATGAAATACTTAGGGGTAAATCTGATAAAGAAGGTGCAAATTTTGTATAGTGAAAACTAGAAAATACAGAGGACTGAAATTACAGTAGATGTAAATAAATGAAAAGATATAACATGTACATGGATTGGTATATTCAATTTTATTAAGATGTCAATTCTCTGCAGGGCGCAGTGGCTCACGCCTGTAATCCCAGCACATTGGGAGGCCGAGGCGGGCGGATCACGAGGTCAGGAGATGGAGACCATCCTGGCTAACACGGTGAAACCCTGTCTCTACTAAAAATGCAGAAAATTAGCCGGGCATGGTGGCGGGCACCTGTAGTTCTAGCTACTCCGGAGGCTGAGGCAGGAGAATGGCGTGAACCCGGGAGGCGGAGCTTGCAGTGAGCAGAGATCCCGCCACTGCGCTCCAGCCTGGGCGACAGAATGAAACTCTGTCTCAAAAAAAAAAAAAAAAAAAAAAAAAAAAGTCAATTCTCTACAAACCCAGCAGGCAATAATTGGTAGAAATTGACAAATTGTTCTAAAATTCATAAGAAATGCAACGGATCTAGAATTGCCTGTATAACTTTGAAAGAGAATAAATTTGGTGACTTCACATTACCTTATATCAAGACTTTGTAAATAAAGCTAAATCATCAAGATAATGTACAATTAGCCTAAAGTTTGACAGATAGATAAATAAAACAAAGTAGTAACAAAGTATAGAGTTTAGAAGTTGATTTTACTCATATGGTCAATTGATTTTTGATAAATATACAAGGACAATTAGAGAAGAAAGAATAATCAGGTCAATAAATGCTTCTGGAAAAACTGGATATCCACATTTAGAAAACAGTAAAAGATCCTTATACCATACGAAAATGAACTCCAAATAGATTATAGACTTCAGTGTAAAAAACCTAAAACTATAAAATTGCTAGGTGAAAACATAGGAACAGTGCTTTATATCAGGCACATTTTCTAGATATAGCAACAATAGTAAAATCCATAAAAAGAAAAAAATTGATAAATAGTATTTCAAAAGACACAGTTAAGAAAAAGAACATACAAGCCACTCTGGGATAAAGTATTTGCAAATGATACATTTGACAAATGGCTTGTATCCAGAATATATAAAGTTTTCATTATTAAAACAGATATGTCACATTTGTACATATTTATGGGATACATTTGAAATTTTGTCACATGTATAGACTGTGTAATGATCAAGCCAGCATATTTGGGTGTCCATCACTGCAAGCATTTATCATTTTCATTTTGTTGATCCTTTGTATTCTCTTTAATCTCTATTTTGTTTAATTTTTCTATGATCTTTATTATTTCTTTCCTTCTATTAATCTTGACTTTTGTTTGTTCTTGCTTCTCTAATTCCTTGAAGTTCATCGTTAGATTGTTCGTTTAAATTTTTCTATTTTGAGAAAGGTATTTACTGTTAAGACTTCCCTTTTAGCAATGCTTTTGCTGTATCCCATAGCTTTCGATACGTTGCTTTGATTTTCATTTGTTTTAAGAAATTTTTGGTTACTTCCTTAATTTCTTCCTTGAACCAGTGTTCATTCAGGAGCATTTTGTTTAATTTCCGTGTGTTTTTACAGTTTGCAAATTTCCTCCAATTTCTCCTATTTACTAATTTCTAGAATTACTCATTTGTGGTTTGAGAAGATACTTGATATAACTTTGAATTTATAAATTTGTTGAGACTTGTTTCATGTCCTAATATATGGTCTATCCTGGAGAAATTTCCATGTGCTGAGAATGTATATTCTGTATTTCTACCCCCTGCAATCCCAGTGCCAAAGCATGCTGTCCAGAAGCCTAGGGATTATCCAGCCCACTCCACCACCATTTGCATCTAAGCATTCCTCCTTGGGCTTCAAGATGGATCCACCCAACCTGCCACTACCACAGCAGCTTACATGCACCTACACATACCACCTGTGGACCTAGGGACTGCCTCACCCAGCCTGTCACAGCCACGAACAACAACTACATGAACTGCTTGGGAGTGAAAGGTTTGTCTTACCACTACTATTGCCATTGCCAATGCCACATCCACTGCCTAGAGGCCCAAGAAGGCACTGACCTACCTGGCCCACTGCTGCAACTACTAGCATTCCAGCAATCTACCTGGAAGCCCGAGAATAAGCCTACTGGGACACACTAACACTGGCACCAGTGCATACGACCCTAGGGCTTAAAACAGGCACACTCAGCCCACCACTACCACCACTGGGGCCTGAGAACCGACCCACCTGGCATCCCTGTCCCCATTCAAACTTCAGCAAAGCCTTTACTAAAAACTGAACCCTAGGCCACATAGGAAAGCACCCTAAAAGACAAACTTTAAATGTTAAATAGTATTGCCATAGTCTAAAGAAGAAAAACAACCACTATCTCCCTGTAGAAAAATAAACATATCTTACAGGAAATGCAAAGCAAACAAATAATCAAAAGTAAGATACTTTTGTTTATTTGAATCAAAAACTGACACAATATTCAATGATTTTTTTTTCAATATTCATTCATTTGCTTTTAGCTTTTAGGGGGTATTTATTTATTTAGATTTTGTTTACTTGCTTCTTTTAGACATTTAGTGTTCCCCCATGAGGAATAACAAAATAGCATGTTATGTAGGCATAATTTTCCCATCATTTATTTCCCCCAATGTTTTAATGTTTCCTTTAAAGTATTAGTCCATTTTCACACTGCTGATAAAGACATACCTGGGCAATTTACAAAAAAAAAGAGGTTTAATGGACTTACCACGTGGCTGGGCGGGCCTCACAATCATGGTGGAAGGGAAAAGGCACATCTCACATAGCAACAGACAAGAGAAGAGAGCTTGTGCAGGGAAACTCCCGTGTATAAAATCATCGGATGTCGTGAGACTTACTCACTATCACAAGAACAGCATGGGAAGGACCCACCCCCATGATTCAAATATCCCCAACCAGGTTCCTCCCACCACACATGGGAATTGTGGGAGTTACAATTCAAGATGAGATTTGGGTGACACAACCAAACCACATCACTTTATGAATATGATTTTCCATTTCTTACCTATTAGAAAAATAATTTCAGAGGAGTAACTTGAATGCCATATAGATTTTGGAGAAGTAGCTCAGATTCCATATGGAACTCAGAAACCCAGTTGTCATATCCAGGTGATGAATCACAGAGCAACTTTCAAGAAAATTTTTCTTGAAAAACTTTTTCTTATGTCATTATACTCAGACCTGGCATTGTGTGTCTAATAGAGGATTTAATACGGGGAATTAAATCTTGTGACATATAGGAGAGCATTGACTCTTCTCAGGCTTATTCATCCAATTGGTTAAAAAGGAAAAAAGATCTCTGAAATTTTAATTTCAACAACATGAAAATAGTTAGATGCTTTGTCCAAAATATTTTTTCCAACTAAAACATGTTTTAAAATTATATTGACAAGAAAACAATTACAAAAGTTTTAAACTAATGACACAATCCCATGGATAATTTCCTCTACATAGCTCAGAGAGATAAATGAATGAATCATATATCATAGCAGGAAGCAATTTCCCTCAATGAGTTCTACCTGCTGGAATCTCAATTCATTACAGATTGAGTAAAAGCTTTTATTTAAAATAAGACTCTTAAACTGGATCTGGAACAAAACCCAAACCCTGAGGGGGTCGGCTATGAATATATTTAGAACTTTCCACTTTCTGGAAGCACTTGTGATCCAAATGTCTCTCTTCTGTGCACAGTAGCTTGGTAAAGTATTCCAATGACACAAGTGACTTCCAAGTTTGTTCATGTTCATGTCTCCTTAACGTGGTTTAGCATTTTTCTGATGGGTTGCCATCATGCAGATGTCTTAACAATATTCCCCTCTCATTTTATCTCTGTCTTTTCTTCAGTGTGGCACAAATATATGAATGTGTGTCAGTTAAACAAGGAGCCTTAACAAACCAAATGTCAGTCCCTGGAAATTTGAAATGGAAAGTTAAATGCAGCCCAAATCCAGAGAGCCTTTGGTATTTTTGGATTGTTTAAAACTTACTTTGTAAGGATTCATACAGAAAAAGTTGCTTTTATACCATCATTAAGAAGTAATAATGTAAATCTCTCCCCCCAGGTTAAAACAGAAATTAAGCAGGTAATACTGCTCATCTTTCTTTTCCTAACAGCTCTTTTTGCTTGGCTTGGTATTCCTTCTAAGGAATAAACGAACAAAATAGCTTCTATGAAGGACTTAAGATTCAGAAAGGGTGAATGATTTACAAAAAGTTAAAAAATGGACCTCATGGAATCAAGATTCCAAAACAATTCTTCTAATGTTCCTTTTTTTACACTGGGCTCACATGTATAATTAGCCTTATGTTGAATCTTGTCATGTGTGTTATTCTTGACTCTTTACATAAAACATGTGTTAGTTTTCCAGTGCTGCCATAACAAAATGCCTCAAACTGGGAAGCTTAAAACAACAGACATTTATCATCTCACACTTTTGGAGACTAGATGTCTGAAATTAAGTTGTTGGCAGGGCCATGATTCCTTTGAAAGCCTATAGGGAAGAGTCCTCTTTACCTCTTAGCACCAGCAAAGGCCATCAATCCTAGCATTCATTGACTTGCAGTGGCATCTCTGCGTTTGCCATCACATGGAATTCTCCCTGCTTTCCTATCTTTCCATAGTTGTCTTCTTAAAGCAACACCAGTCATACTGGATTGAGGTCCACCCTGGTGATCTCATCTCAAGTTGACTAAATTTGCGAAGACTCTATTTCCAATTAAAGTCACATTCACAGGTATTAGTGATTAGGATTTCAACATATCTTTTTCTGAGGACACAATTCAATCCATAACATACAAGTCCTTTATAGAAAAAGAAGGTGTTCCTGGTCCTCTTCAGGATCACCTGGGTCTTCCAGCATAATGTTGATCACATTAATATTTGATGTTTGGTACAGAACATTGATTTTGTAGAATATTGAACGTAAAAAGACTCATAGATGAGAAAACATCTTTAGACAGATGAATAACAAATCTGGGAGATGCTCAAGTATATTAAGACCCATCCATTAATGGAAGAACAAGATTCTTGTACAAAGAGTTAAGCAATCTGGGCTTTGGCCCTATCTGTGGGATAACTTAACTATTTTGAAGACCTTGTAACAATGTTTCTTCATCAATCATAAAACATATCTCTTCTGCCTATTTAATTGAATATTGTGATTACAAAAATATAATAGACCTGAAAAATGTTTAATGCCATGCAAATTCCTAGGTATCAGTATTAATCCGATCCTGTGTTGCCACAGTGCTCTCTTATGTCTTGGAAAAATTACGAAGGCATAGCAGATGGTTGGTGTTCTTTCTAGGTTCACTTGGATCTATTTTATTTTCTGGGCCTCTAAACCATATTTTAGCTTCAGTGAGCTTTGCACTTATGGGTTTCCACCCACGACTTTCTTCAGAGTATGCCCTTGGGTATAGAGACACTTTACTTTCGTGAACATCCAGAAAGTCCTGGGGGTTATACCATGCCCTCTGTTCTACAGAAGCTCACAGCCAATAAATACTTGGTTAGGGAATACAAGAGCCCAGCTTTCTTTTATCAATGTGGGATGAACTGAAAAATTTAAACCCTAGAGCTTCTCATGTGATCAGACTGAGGATGGAGCTTCAGTTGAAATTAGTCTTAGTTTGGTTTCTTCCTTTTCATTAATGTACTTTTCACCATTCACTTACTGGTTTAATCTTGTGGTATTCCCTTAACAAAATATTTGAACATGTATTCTAACTCTCTAACTCTGATGGCTTCTTTAGACAATATGACTTAAGATACTTTTTTCTGTGTGTGTGGCACAGCCTCACTCTGTCACCCAGGCTGGATGGAGTACAGGCTGGATGGTACGATTATGGCTCACTGTAGCCTCAACTTCCTAGGCTCAAGCAATCCTCCCACCTCAGCCTACTGAGTAGCTGGGACTATAGGCATGCATCACCATGCCTGGCTAATTTTTCTTTCTTTCTTTTTTTTTTTCTCACTATGTTGCCCAGGTTTTTCTCAAACTCCTGGCCTCAAGTGATCCTCCTGCTTCAACCTCCCAAAGTGCTGGGTGGGATTACGGGCATGAGCCACTATTCCCAGTCAGCCAACAGTTGGTACTTCTAAGAATAGGATTCTGGAGTTGGTGCACTCGTCGACTAACTGGCAATGAAAAATCCAACATGGGTGGAGAGTGGAACGGTGATAGCCACTGGCATGCTGCAGCATTACAATTGCTGAGGCTTTTATCTCTGTTTGACTGGGATGGGATACTGATGGAAGAGGTAGTGCAGTATCTCTGGGACTTGTGAGATATGAGGAAAATAGTAATTATAAGGACACTGGGGTTGAGTGACTGCTGCTGAGCACCACTGAAGCTCTGAGAGAGAAAATGGCAAATGTGACCAGTTAACAACATGAGGCAATATATCAAATCCTGGTGGTTTACATGGCAGCATTTAAAGTGTCCTTTACCAGTAACCAGAGAGAAAAATGTAGTGACCACCAAGATGGGACTTAATTGTAGAAATTGCAGAACCTGAAAAAAGGCTGAATTTGCAGGGTTGGTAGCTCTGCCAAATCAGGCCCCTGAAAGGAAATAAGTGGAACCCTTAAACGCAGGATGAGAATATTTGGTTGGGCTTGTGAATGTTGACCCTCCAGATTCCCCAGAAGACTTTGGACCTGGAGAAGAAGTTTGCTTCCCCTGTTTGAGACTGTAGTCCATATTTTAGCTAAAGAGTATGCAGCGACCTCAAACGAGGCAGATACCTACAAGGTCCATCCTCTGGATGTCAGAACAACAACCAAGGTCAAGTCTTAACATGGCCTTATTGGAGAAGTACTGTGCCCGCTAAGGAGAGAGGGGTTTATATTTAGAGATTATACACTGAAGAAGACCTGCATAATATATCCAGGTGGGAGCTGAATAATAATACCTTGACAGTAGATCTTGTCTATATAGGGACCCTCTCCTAAAATTTAGGACTTGATACCCAACCCAGCACCCCTGGAACTGGTTCTAACATGCTTCTAGGATGGCTACTAGAAGGTTGGAAAAACTAGTGGCTCACATTAAATGAAATAGATATGCCAGAATTACTTTGGCAGGGTAGCTAGGTAGAGATCAAGGATTCAGATAAGTTGAAATGCTAAAATACCTATTAATATTACATAAGACTTAAAGTGTCATCATCAAGTCATGTTATCGAAGAGGGTGCAAAAGATATTCCTCTGCTAAAATGGTAAGAAGCATGCTGGAGGAGAATGCATTGACACCGGTGAGCAGTCCAGCTATGGACTGCTCTTTTTAAGCCAGAGATGATAGTAGGAGATGCTGTTAAAAAACTGGGCTCCCTAGTTTCACTGGCATAGATAGGATTCTAGAATGGCAGAAGCCAGGGTTAGAACATAAATATCAGAGGAACGGTGGGCATAATTATCATAGACATTCAGTGGGCCTTGATTTGTGGAGATGGCTGACAAATCATGTATTCTTCAGTTCAAAAAAGATGGGCAGTTGAATATCTGACAAGAAATTGCCATATATATATATATGAAATGAAATATTCTAAAATTATATATAATAAAATATTCTTATATATAAAATAAATTATATATATAATAAAAATAAATAAATAATAGATTAACAGAAGGTTTGTGTCAGATGTGCCAATGAAACGCATTATACCTTGCCTGGTTTCCAGATCTGAGCTAATTCTCAGACACAAAACAAACCACTTGAAAGAGAGGTGAATACATCTTGAGAAACAAACAAACAAAACCTGTAGTAGCTTAGCAAGCGCAATGGCAGTGATTCTAAAAGTCGATATTCCTTGAATTACCAAATTAACTGTACATAAGAGGAAGCAGGAAAGCAGGATACTTCGATCTCTACAGAGCCAGTTAGATGCAAGGGCTAGCCTGAAACATGGAGAAATAAAATTTTATAAGGCTCAACAGTGGCGTCAACTTTGCAGGAAAATGATGCGGAAATATGTGATCAAACATTATTCTGGATATTTCTGCCAGGATCATTTTGAATAAGATTAATATTTAAACTGGTAGACATAGAGTAAAACACATTGCTTTTCATGATGTGGGTAAGTTTCATCCCATGAGTTTAGGCCTGAATAGAAAAAAAAGACTGATTTCCCTGGAGCAAGAATGGCTGGCAGAGGCTTTCACAGTGGAACTGCAACACTGTTTCTTCCGAGGTCTCCAGCCTGCTGGCTCACCTTGCAGATTTTGGACTTTCTATTCCTATCCTATTTCTTCTCTTTCTTGGGAGACTCCTGACTAATACAGGCTCCTTCCAATAAAGTGAAGTGTATGGGGTTCAAGTAATGAGTAGAATCCAGGCCTGGGTCAGTGTCATAGGTAGTTCTTAGATGTCTAATTTTAATGCTGGAAAATCTGAAATCATTCAAGAGATGCTCTATGGTAACACTGAGTTTGTAAGACAAGTTCAGACACTAGGAGAAAAAAGCACTTTCAGGGACCCCTGATAAAGTAAGAGCACCTGAGGGTCAAGTAACTAGTGGATACCTGGCTTAGACTGTAGCACAGTAATCACTTCTTTGCTTCCCATATACATAATTTTAATGGACATAATTAAAACTTGGCACAAAACTCACATTAGTTCTTTGACATGTTGAAGGAAGAGCTATTGTTGTAGGAAAGGTGAAAGCCTCTGAAAATATGTCTTGGCCATATTAAATCAAAGGCAACTGAATTAGAAAGGCAGAGATTAGTACGATCTTAAAGGACCTGGATAACACAGGAATGGTGGTCCCCATTATTTCTCTCTTTAATTCACCAGTATGACTCCTCAAAAATCCAGATGAGTAGCAATTGACATTATTAGACTACTGTAAACTGAACTAATGAGCAGCTTCAAATGCAGCTCTATGCCAGATAGATAGATAGATAGATAGATAGATAGATAGATAGATAGATAGATTAGTACTGATCAGCCTGGTCTCTGGTTCATAAAATTTGGCTCTTGAAATGCTTCATATGTTGTTTCCAACAATCATCATTACAGGGGAATTACAAGAGTTTCACATTTGCCTGGAATGAACAACAGTAAACATTCACTCTCTTGCCTCAGGGTTGTGCTATCCCCTTACTTTGTAACAGTAGAGCCTGAAAGGTCCCAGATCATCTGGATATCCCAAAGACTTTCATGATGATCAACTGTATTAATAACCTTAAACCTATTGAACAAGAAGTATGAAGTGCTTTGGGAGCACTGATAACACATGTGTACACCAAATGGTAGGAGATAAACTGTACAACTATTTAGGGTTCTGACACATTAGAAAAGTTTTGATTTTTTAACCTTTTTTTAGAGATGGGGGCCTCAATATGTTGTTCAGATTGTCCTTGAACTCCTTACTGTGCTTAAACAATCTTCCTACCTCAACCTCCCTAGTAGCTGGGACTACAGGCATACATAACCATGTGCCCAGCTCAGAAAAGCTTTTAGGGCTCAAGTGGTTTGGGGCATTGATGAGACAGCACTCCAAAGTAAGTGACAAGTTACTGCATTTGAATCTTTGTATCACAAGAAAAGGAACACAGAAGTTGTTAGACCAATTCAAGTTCAAATACTGCACTTAGAAATACTGCTATGTCTCATTTACACAGTGAGGCTGATAGCAGCCAGCTGTGCATGAGGGCCAGGGGAAGAAAGGGATTGGCATTAGGTATAGGCTGTGATAAAAGCAGCCCTGTTTCTAGGACTATATGACCCAGTGAATATTATAGTAATTGATCTTCATTGGATAAATAAAGGCACTGTATAGATCTCCTGAAAGACCCAATAAGAAAGGCAGAAGCCTAGGGTTCGGGAAAAAAAGCATATATTCTGTAACAGATAATTGTTAACCATTTAAATAGCAGCTTCTGATGACCTACTGGGCTATGGTAGAGAAAAAGTAACTGGCCATGATATAGCAAGTGATATGGTTTGGCTTTGTGTCCCCACCCAAATCTCCTCTTCAATTTTAATCTCATAATCCCCATGTGTCATGGGAGGGACCTGATGGGAGGTAATTGAATTATGCTGGTGGTTTTCTCTGTACTGTTCTCTTGATAGAGAGTGAATTCTCATGAGATTTGATGGTTTTTTAAGCATCTGGCATTTCCCTGCTGGCACTCATTCCCTCTTCTCATCCCTGTGAAGAGATGCCTTCCACCATAGTTTAAAGTGTCCTGAGGCCTTCCCAGCCATGTGGAACTGTGTGTCAATTAAACTTCTTTGCTTTATAAAATACCCTGTCTCTGGTATTTCTTCATAGCAGCATGAGAACGGACTAATACCTCAAGTGAACATAACCAGTGTTGTCCATCACGAGCTGAGAGCTTTCATATCCACAATCATAAGAATCAGGCAGGACCAATAATAATTTATTATACAGTTAAAGCAGCATATCAGGAATCAGCCCTCAGTAGGATGAAATGGCCCTAGTAAGCTGCGTGAAAAAAGAGGAACAGATTCCCATGTGACCCACCATTGTTGCACCAGTGCTGCTCCTATAAACTTCCATTGGCTTCTGAAAGATTCTGCATGACAGTCTGAAAGAGGAGGAAAAATATGTCCAGGCTTTGTTCACTAATGGGCTATGTGGGTAAATTATTCTAAGGCAACAATAATAGATTAATGGTGAGCTACATCTTGCCTATGGGTGTCCTTGAAAGACAGTGAAGAAGAGAAATCCTCTCAGTAGGTAAAGCCTAAGGTATTGCACTTTGTGTGGGGGAAAAAGGAAACAGCCCAAGGGAATTCTAGAGAGTAGCAAATGACTGGGTTGTTTTCTCAGAGGCTTGAAGGACTGTTACTAGAAAATCAATAGGAAAAAGGTTCTGGAAAGAAGTATAGGGATGATATATGGGGAATTCACAAAGTATAAGGATCTTTGCATCACATTTTAATTTCCCCCAAAAATAATGCATTTCAGAAGAGGAATATGGACAGATTTATATAGAAACATGACAGATTTATCATATGCAACTTGTATACCTAAACCCTGGTTACATTCTTTGTAAAGGCCTAGAAGACACTTCCTTCAATTGGAAGGTTGATAAATATATCAATGAGAGGAATACAATGAAACTTGAATCACTGTATTTTCTCTTCTTTGTAGGCTAGATATGACCATGGGTAATTTCTCCAATTAGATAAACGTTCTCATTTTACTGGTAATGACACAGGGCAGGTCAACCCCCAAATTGGGCTTAACCCAGGAGAGTTGTTGGCTTCACCCAGGAAAGAATTCAAGGGTGAGTTGGTGGTATTAAAACAGCAACTTTTATGGAAGCAGCTTGTTTACAGCAGCAGCAGAGGTACTACTCTTTGTGGAGCAGGGCAACCCCACAGGTGTGTGCCTACAGTAGCTGTTTAGTTCTGCAGTCATATTTGTACAAACTTTTAATTATAAATAAATTAAGTAATGGATTACGCAGAAATTTATAGAAAAAGTTGGTAACTTCTGGGTCACTGTGTCATTGCCATGGAAAAGGGTGGTAACTTCCAGGTGTTGCCATTGTCCTGGCATCTCGTATGGGGAGATGCTTTCACCTCTTCCCTGTCTTCTCTAGTCCTGAATCTGGTCCACTGTCTGAGCCCTGCCTCCAGAGTTGAGTCCCACCTTCTACAGTGGATGGTATTCTGGAGTAGCAGAGGCAAGGTGGCACAGACAAAATGGACACATTTATTATTTTAAAAAGGAAGCAAAAAGGTATAGATAATCAGGATTGTTTTAAGCTTCAGAGACCTGTGGGTATGGTTATTTGAAAACAATTTTCTTAGGAATTATATAGATAGGAAATCAACCAGAATATATTTCTCAAATCTATATAATACAAATATTCCAGGTCTAGTAGCCCAAATCCTGATTTAACTTATCACAATTGAAAGTCATAATATCTCTCCTAGTTTTCAGACTCAAGCTAATTGATATATACATCGCTTTCCATACATTTTTTTATGATGAGACATCTAAAATTTACTGTTATTTTGAAATGAATGTTATTATTGACTCCAATGACCCTACTGTGCAACAGATCTCAAAATCTATTTCTCTTTTCTACCTGAATCTTTGTATCTATTGACTGACAATTCTCCATTCCTTCGCTCCCTATCCCTCCAACCTCTAGTAACCATCATTATGATCTATTTGTCTGTAAGTTAAACTTTATTGGATTTTATATATACATGACGTAATGTGGTATTTGTCTTTCTGTGCTTGGCTTATTTCACTTAGCATAATGTCCTCTGATTCATTCATGTTGTCACAAATGACAGGATTTACCCCTTCTTAAGGCTGAGCAGTATTTCATTGTGAATATATACCACATCTTTAATCTGTTCATCCGTGGATAAACAGTTAGGTTGACTCCATATCTTGGCTATTGTGAATACTGCTACAATGAACATGAGAGTGCAGATATGCCTCTGAAATACTGAGTTCAGTTCCTTTGGATATATACCTAGAAGTGGGATTAGTGGATAATATGTTAGCTCTCTTTTTAGTTTTTTGAAGAACCTCCATACAGTTTTCATAATGGTTGTACTAATTTTCATTCCCACAAACAACAATGTATAAGAGTTCCCTTTGCTCTGTATTCTCTCCAACACTATCTTTCATCTTTTTGCTAAAAGTCATTCTAGCATGTGAGGTGATATCTTACTGTGGTTTTAATTTGCATTTTTCTAATGATTAGTGTTGCTAAACATGTTTTTAAAAATGTACCTGTTTGCCATTTGTATGTCTTCTTTTGAGAAATACATGCTCAGGCCTTTTGCCCATTTTTAAAGTCAGGTTGTTTTCTTACTATTGAGTTGTTTCAGTTCCATGTATATTTTGGATATTAACCGTTTATCAGATACACAGTTTGCAAATATTTGCTGCTATTCTGTGGGCCAGCTCTTCACTTTCTTAATTCCTCCCTTTGATGTACAGAAGCTTTTTAGTTTGATGCCATCCCATTTTCTGTTTTTGCTTTTTTTGTCTGTGCTTTTGGGGTTATATCCTAAAAATTATTGCACAGACCAAAGTCTTGAGGGTTTTCTCCTGTTTTCTTCTAGTAGTTTTACCAGTTTCAGGTGTTGTATTTAAATCTTTAATATATTTTGAGGTTTGTTTTTTGTAAATGGTGTAAAATAAGCGTCTAATTTTATTCTCCTGCATGTGGATATCCAGTTTTCCCAACATCATTTATTGAAGACTGTGTCTTTTCCCCATTTTGTGTTCTCGGCATCTTTGCCAAAAGTCAATTGATTATAAATGCATGGGTTTATTTGTAGGTTTTCTCTTCTCTTCCATTGGTCAGTGTACCTGTTTCTGTGCCAGTACCATGCTGTTGTGATTATAATTGCTTTATAATATTTGTTTGAAACTGAGGAATGTGATGCCTCCAGCTTTGCTCTTTTTGCTTAAGATTGTTTTGACTCTTGAAGTCTTATGTGGTTCCATATGAATTTAGGTATAGTTTTTTTTTCTGTGAAAAATGACGTTAGAATTTTAATATGGATTACATTGAATCTGTAGACCACTTGGGTAGTATGGATTTTTTCACAACATTATTTTTTCTAATCCATGAACACAGTATATCTTTCCATTAATTTGTGTTTTCTTCAATTTATTTAATTAGTGTTTAATAGTTTTCAGTATATAGGTCTTTTATCATCTTGTTTAAATTGACATGTAAGTATTTATTTTGTTCCTATTGTAAATGGAATTGTTTTCTTAATTTCCCCTTTGGATAGTTTGTATTTATTATACAGAATGCTACTGATTTTTGTAGGTTGATTTTGTATCCTGTAAGTTTGCTGAATTTATCAGTTTTAATAGTTGTGTGTGTGTGTGTGTGTGTGTGTGTATGGAGCCTTTGTGTTTTTCTCTATATAAGATCATGTTGTCAGAAAATAGAAAGAGCTTCATATAAGTATATACTTTAAGTCTTCCTTTGTACCTTCCCCAAAGGGAACTATGACACTACTCCAGGAACCGTGTACTGTACCAAAGGGATTATCCAGACATGTTTGATATTACCACACACTGGCTCTGAAATAACATTAATTTCTCATACCCCAAAATGCCACCATAGATAAATGCCACCATAGATAACCAAAGTCGTGACTGTGGTGGTCTTAGTTCACATTCAATTTACAGTCAGCTCAATTGTTCTACAGACCTATCCTGTGGCTATTTCCCTAATTCCTGAATGTATGATTAGAATAGATATACTTGACAATTGGTGGAATTCTCACATGGGATCTCTCACCCATGGGATAAGAGCCATTATAATAGAAGGGCTGAGCAGAAGCCCCTGGAATTTTCTCTCCATTACAAAATAGCAAACAAGGAACAATGGTATATCCCTTGGAGAATAACAGATTAGTGCCACCACTAAAGACTTGAGAGACACAGTGTTGATGTAATCATCAACACTTCTTTAACTTACTGTTTTCCCTGTGAATAAATCAGATGGATCTTGGGAAATGACTGTGGGCTATGTTGAGCCTAATTAGGTAGTAACTCCAGATTTAGATTTACTAGGGTATATCAGCACAGATTTTGACAGTTGATAGTGAGTCATTGATCCAGCTAATTATTTTTTCTTCATTCTAATTTGTAAGAATCACCAAGAAGCAATTTTATTTTACTGGGATAGATGGGTAGAAATCACGCACTCAAATACATTGTATGTTGCCTTCACAATCTAAAAAGGCCAATCACACAGTGTGCTTCTTTTATGTGGTAGATAATGCGAGGGGTAGTACCTGGTCTTCAGCTTCTGGGATGCTTCAGGCGCCTCTGCATCTATCCATTACCATGTCTGATCATTAGTGACTTACTGTTGATTCACAATCAGGCATCTGGTGGTGGGCCTGGAGGTGCTGTTGGTAAGCAGGGGACTCAGTCTAAAAGACAAAGTGGGCCTAGAGGAGTAAGGCACTAGAGCAAGCAGGGATCTGCAGGGGTGTTTCTACATCTGTCCATCACCATACCAACCTGTGAAAAACTCTTGAGAGATATTTACTGCTTCATCTCTGCCTTCCAGGTTTCATGTAAGTTCTTCTATTCATCATCTTTAATCCAGAACAATGCAGAAAAGAGGGGGGTGGGGTTCGGAGAAACATAGATCCCAGACTTAGCCAAGTTGTCATAGCATAGTCCGGTACACAATTTTTCTTTTTCTTGGCTTATTCAATTAGTTGTCAGCAGAGGTTTGTTTAAGTTGCACACTGGTATTATGATTTTTTCCATTCTTCCTTTTTGTTCTGTCAATTTCTACTTTATTCCAAAACTATGCTATTGGGTAAATTAGAATTTGATATTGCCTTGTTGCATTAGCCATTTATTATTATGAGATTGTCCTCTTTGTTGTTAGTAATCATGTTCGCATTAAAGTATATTTTATCTGATATTTATTTACTGGCTTTTCCTGCAAAAACTGATCCCAGGCCTCTAGCAGACAGTAGATCCACTGAGGTGTCAGCTGCTTCTCACAGATGCACAGCTTCCCACAGACCTCTTCATGAGCCCCCTATATGTGATCCCATGTTGGTGGGTGAAAATGCTTGGCTTTTAAAAATTTCCCTGTAGGTTCCAACTTGTCCACCTACAACAGTACTTCAGGCAGACTGAGTAGTGAGTGATTCTTTCTCTGATACTGAATTTCCCTTCCAGATGTTCAGTTCCTTGGCTCCTCCCACCTTATTCCTTTATGTCCATAATACTTTTGATGGCTGTTTCTTCCACAGAAACTGAACTGATACAATCAGTAAAGATACAGAAGATGTAAAAGTAACAAGCTTGAACTAATTTGTATATGTGTGTGTGTGTGTGTGTGTGTGTGTGTGTGTATACATGAAGTATAAAGTATATACTTTAAGTCTTCCTTTGTACCTTCCCCAAAGGGAGCCATGACACTACTCCAGCAACTGTTGCATATGTGTGTGTAACAATGTATGATGCAAAGCTGTACTCCATAATGACAAACTTCACATAATGTGATCATCTCAACAGACGGAGCCAACACTTTTGGCAAAATGCAGCACTTTTGAATGATAAAACTCTTAGTAAACTAATAATAGAACTTCTCTATCTAATCAGATATGTCTAAAATCATGAATAGTAATAAAATGATGAAAATTTTGTATCTATGAGAAGAAGAAAATATAGAAATCTGATTTCAATTATTCTATTTAATATTTTGCTAAAGGGCCACCCAGTGGAATAAGGCAGGGAAAACAAAATAAAATAAGAATGGGAAGATAGAAAATAAAGCAGTTATTACTTACAGAATCAATAATTGTGTATTGTCAATCCAAAAGAATCTATAAACAAATTTAAGATGAATAAATGATGTTAATAAGATGTCAGAGCACCAGGCTAATAAAAATCCATTTTACTTCTATGACTTTTTCAACAAAAAATGAAAAACACACATGTATAATACCACACAAAAAAGAATATGTCTAGAAAATAAAACAAAATATGTACATGATTTCTACTCTGAAAAATTACAGATCTTCACTGAAAGTAATTAAAAAAGACTGCAATAAATACAGGGGAATATCCTGTTTGAGGACTGAAAGACTCAATAGTGTAAAAATGCTAATTCACCCAAACTCAATCTGAATCAAAGTTATATATTTTATGTTGCATTTCCTTGTATTGAGGACATTCCAAATCTTTCTTCTAGCTATTTTGAAATATACAATAAATGATTGTTAACCATAGTAACCCTACTGTGCTGTTGAACACTACAACTTTTTCCTTCTATCTAACTGTGTATTTGTACCCATTAACCAACCTCTCTGTGTTCTTCCTTTTCCCTACCTTTCTGAACCTCTGGTAACGACTATTCTACTCTCTACATCCATGACATCAACTTTAAAATTCTGCATATGAGTGAGAACTTGTGATATTTGTCTTTCTGTGCCTGACATATTTCATTTAATATAATATCCTCCAGTTCCATCTGTGATAAATGTTTCAGGTGATGGAAATTCCATTTACCTTGATTTGATCACTATACATTGTTTGCATGTATCAAAACATCACATACACCCCAGAACTAGGTATAATTTTTACATATTAAAAAATCAAAAATAAAAGTAACTATAAAAATGATACAAAAATTTTCTTACATCAAACCAAGTATCAAATTCATATAGAAGTGCACATATTCAAAAGTAGTTAAGGCAATCTTGACAAAGACAGCCAGAGGACTTATACTACCAAATAGAAAGGCTCATCATAGGGAGTGCATGAGGTAATGTCCTACTGACACAAGGCTAGACAACTGAGCAGGGAACAGAATATAACCCAGTAACAGTTCTGCAGAATTACAGTTAAACAATTTATGACAGAAGTGAGACTTTAGTGAGGAAAGGATGCTGTTTTTCTTTAACTAATGCATGGTGCTGCTTCAATAGATAGACAAAAAGAATATGGAAAAAATGTATTTCATCTGTTCTTCACACCATTTACAAACATTAGCCTTTTAGAGGAAAATAGAGAATGTCTTGATGACATCAACGTGGGTAAATCTATGAGACAGTACACAGAGTTTGCTATCCAAAGAAGAAAAAAATGACAAATTTAAGAAATCCTCTTTATGAAAAGGTACCAATAAGAGAGTGAAAGTTCAATCCAGAAAGATAGAGAATACATTTATAATACATATACCTGCTAAAGGACTTGTATTCATTACATATATATATATATATACACACACACACACACACACGTACATATATGTATACACACACTTGCATATATATGTAGACAAACATATATATATGTACATAACTTTTACAAATCAATAAAAAATGAGAAAAAAGTTGAAGATTGGGCAAAAAACACTAGCAGGCATGTCACAAAGGACACGTTTTAATAACAAATCCATGAGAAGATGCAGCTTTAGTAATTAGTAGTAAATACAAATTAAAAATATAAGAAATTTTTAATACTTTACTTACACCAAAATAAGCAAAATGATAAAGCTAAAAAATATCAAGCGTTCTAGAAGCTGTGAAGCCCCCAGAACTCTCATGTACTATAGTGGGAGTATAAATTGGTTCATTCACATCAGAAAACTTTTTGTCAGTATCCAGCAAAGTTAGACATATATATGTATGAGTATTCACATACGTATATATTTTAGATACATTCCATTCTTATCTATGTTATTCTAAATAATGTGTATACATATAAATTATGAGATATGTACTAGAATGTTCACAGCAGCATTACTTGTAAAGGCCAAGAACTGGAAACAACCGGAAAGCTAATCAACAGTTGAATGCATGATGATGAAATACTTTAAAGCAAGGAGAATGAACAGTCTATAATTATATACAATATTGATAAATTACATGCACAAACTGTTGAACAAAAGAAACTAAACTATATCCTATGGTTTGTACAAAAAGTTTACACTCATATAAAGTTCAATAGTAGTCAAAACTAATCCAGAGGTGAGGGTAGTATTCATCCAAGTGAACCCAGTGGCTAGAAGTAAACATAAGAAGAGTATGTTGGTGCCAGTAATGGTCTGTTCCTTGATCAGGGTGACACATTACGTTTGTGAAAATCCACGAGCTTTGCACTTATGTATCCATGTAGTTTTCCAAATCTGCATTACATGTCTAATTTTTATGCCACAGAGTACGTGCCACCTAAAAACAAAAGCTAACTTGCTAAGCTCTAAGAGGTAGAATTAATCTTTGGTGAGGTAAATCCAATGCATGCTGCATTATATTACCTAGCTTTCCCTGAACGTAAAACTACAGCGTGACAAGATAGTGCAGTCTGTTATCGTGAAGCAGATAAGGTAAATGTGGTCCTTCCTCTTACAGTATGAGCCTTCATGATGACACCAAATCTATCCAGAGACAAATGTTCAAGTGGCCGAGGAGCAACATTCCTAGATCTTTCTACCTCCTATAGTCAAAAATCAGAATAGCAAAATGCATCTCAGTATTTCCCTCTACTGTATAAGGAGGAGCTAAATCTGCCATCTGCTCTTCTTTTGTTCTGAGCTAGATCATATTCTTATTTCTTTTGATTATTGCTCCTATTTATGCTCTGCAACACAGATGAACTTATAGATGAGAAAGAAGGGCTATTATTCCCCTAGAAAGGGGAAAAGCAAAATCCATTTAGAAATATTTCTTAAATAGTGGTCTGTGGTTGATGAATTATGCATGCAGTAAGCAGCGACACTCCAGCTCTCATAACCAGAGGGGAAAGCTGCAGTCCTCACTTTCCGGCTCAACTGAACAGGGGCCCTGGCTGCCAGGGAATGACAAGTCATCTCATTTAAAAATCGTACTCTTTCCTGAAAAACCAAATGGAAGTTTAAATCAGGTAAAACGTGGCACCCTAGGAGCTATCTCCAGTAATTTGGCATTGTTACACACACTCATACAATGAGATTGAAAGCACTTTGCTGTGAAAATGTGGAAACCTGGGGTCTTAGCCCAGTGCTGTCACAAATTAGTCATTTGACCTTGCTGTTTACCCAGACAGGGCCTCAGTTTCCATATCTGAAACTAACCAAAATTTAGATTAAAAGATCTCTAGGTCTCATCTTCCTTTAACAATCTTTAATAAGGGAAGCATACTTTTATAGCAACATGTATATTATTAAATAATTTCCATGTGAGAGGATAATTAAGCTAGTAATATTAAGCTTCTCCTCTGTGTTCCAGATGTGTAATAGACGTTTAACACAAAAGTAGTATTATCGTTGCCATAATCCGTTCCAGGGTTTTCTGTCTAGCATTTAATGATGATGGACATCTTTGAAAATATGAAAAAAGTCATATGTTTTGCATATTACTCCATATTTTGTTTCACAGATGGATATATTTTTTCTCATTAGCATTACATTGGCTGTAGAAAAGGACTGCGTGGTTTTTAGACACATGCAAATGCTACTTAATGAGCACACCTTATTCTCCTTCCTTGTTTTCTGGTATTACTAACTAGTGCGGTAACCGTGGACAAATCATTCCCTTTTCCTATGCATTGTTTTCCCATTTCACATATTAATAGAACTTGTTTAGATCCATGTTTCTCAGAGTGTGCTTGGCAAAATACGTCAATCCCCAAAATAGTTCTGTGATCAAACAAATTGGGAAGATCACATATTTCATATCCCCTATATTTTCACCTGGGAAGTAACCATAAATATTCTAAAGGCCTTAAAGAGTTCTGTGATGCAGAAACCTGCTTTATTTCAGAGTTGATCTCAGGTTAATTTATTGAGATAATTTTTTATCCTTGGCTGACAGCCATTAATAATGATCCCTCAGATGAAATGATCTAATCAACTTTCTTGGGGATCCTTCAAACTTGATAATCTCTGATATGGTTTGGCTGTGACCCCACCCAAATCTTATCTTGAATTATAGTTCCCATAATCCCCATGTTTCGTGGAAGGGACCAGGTAGAGACAATTGAATTATGGGAGCACTTTCCCCCATCCTGTTCTCATGATAGTGAGTTAGTTCTTACCAGATCTGATGGTTTTATAAGGGGCCTTCCCTTTCACTGGGCACTAATTCTCTCTCCTGCCACCCTGTGAGGAGTTGCCTTCCGCCACGCTTTTAAGTTTCCTGAGGCCTCCCCAGCCATGTGGAACTGTGAGTCAATGAAACCTCTTTTCTTTATAAATTTCCCAGTCTTGGGAATTTCTTCATAGCAGCATAAGAATGGACTAATACAATCTCCTAGGTTTCTTTTGGTTCACATTTCAATGTAATATGGAAAGGTGGATATTTCTCCAGGTATATTATTTGTCTATTAAAGTGGGCTTGATGTCAATGTTTCTGGTTCTAAATTCAGTTTTGCAATGGCCATTGTGTGACCTGAGGCAAAATCATAATTTCTCTGCGCCTCAGTTTCCTCATCAAAACACTATAAGGATGTTATAAAATAAAAAATAAAAACATAAAACATGTAAAGTGTAACTCAAAATCAGATAGCTTCTCATGATGTAAAAATGAAAACAGAGTGAAGAACTGAGTTTGAAGCCATAATAAGTATGGGAAGTCTTAACCCCATATACATCTAAGGTAACCTCAGATGTGTTCAGTGATTTTTGAAATATTAGAAAGTTGAAGTCTGCTTTGAATCTCAAATGAGATAGTTTTAGGGCAAAAAAAAAAAAAGAACAAAACTAAACTATTAAGCCCTCTGCTCCCCTTCACATAAATGGAAGTCTTTTTGTTTTTTTTTTTTGAAATTGTTACTTTCAAGAATATGCATGCCATTCCTACATAAACAACCAAACAACTATCATACTATAATGGATCATAGGGATTAGAGATATCCATAGAAGAGGAAGGCACAAGAATTCTCAAAGGCAGCCAGTGATGTTTAAAACACAGCTCTGACTTCTGAGAGCTGAAACTAATGGATATCAGAACTGACAGGGCCTCCTTGGTGTTCTAGACACTCTCTTTAGTAGAAACTAAATCCCACCTATAAAATCCTTCAAACATGGTTGTCAAAGACAGGAAATCCTTCCACAATAAATCACTTTTTTCTCTTCTAAAGAGGAGGATATGCTCTTGTATGACCCAATATGTTCTTATAGAAAAAGTTACTTGGGTAGAAAAACAGCTACAGATACTATCTAACAGAAGACATCATAATGACTGATTAAAACAATGCCTGTCTCTGACACACCTCTGAGAGGAGAGCTGTGATACTTAGACAAAGCATATGCTGCTGCCTGAAAATCACTCCTGGTGTAGGACTTCAGGTCATTGTAAGAAATTTTGATATAACAGAGGCTCAAATGGGAGCACTTGTCAAGTTAATGGATTCCTCTGTATCCCAGAAAGAACAGTGAAGGATTCAATAAAGGTTTTATTTTTCCCGTGCTCTTGCTTCACACCCATGATCTCTCTCATCTTTAGCGGGGTTTGGAGAGAGAGCCTATACGTATATATATATCATGGCCCTAAAGCTGCATCTTTGCTTTCCACACAGGTTCCCCTTTATAAATCTCACGTTGCTATTTTAATTTCCCTGTGTGTCTCATATTTTTATGAGACTAAAGCCCCTTGAAAGCAAGGGGCTTTACTTCTCTAGTTATTCTCTCAGCATTTAGGAGGCTGGTCTCAAAGTTTGAGCTGAGTTAAAAAAATACGTATTATCTAACTCCTTATATACATATTTAGAAAGAGAACAAATGAATGAACAAACGATATGTGAATTTATGGAGAAATCCTAGTTTCATTTTTTCAGATTAAATATCTAACATTTTTTAATGAGATGTCAAACTGTATTGGTCAGGGTTTCCCAGAAAAGCAGAAAAAAATATATACTTTAATATATATATGATTTATTAGAGGAATTGACTCATGTGTTTACCGAAGCTGAGAAGTTCCAGGAACTGCCATCCGCAGGCTGGAGAACAGAAAAGCTGGTGGTGTAATGAAGCCCCAGGAACCAGGAGCTCCAATGCTCAGGGCAGGAAAAGATGGATGTCCCAGCTCAAACAGAGAGAGGGAGTGCATTTAACTTTTCTCCACCACTTTGTTCTATTTATGCCCTCAATAGAATGGATGACGCCTGCCCACACTGGTGAAGGTAATCTTCTTTACTAGGGCTACCAATTTAAATGCGAATCTATTTCAGAAACACCATCACAGGTACACTTGGAAGCAATGCTTTGCCAGTTATCTGAGCAACCCTTAACCTAGTCAAGTTGACATAAATTAATCATCACAAGCCCACCCTTTCTCAAACTGGCACCCATACACATCTCCTTAAACTCTACTTCACCTCCAAATAAAGATAGTAACAGTCATAATTTTGCTTGACATAATACAACTATCCTACATTCAACCCAAACCACACTAATCCCTTCCTCAGAAAGGGTAAAGTCCTTGGGTCATGTTTACTATTTTCCTGATAATGTATAAATTAAATATTATGCTGTAAGATTAACAATGCCTAAATAACAATATATAGTCAATACATCTTATATGATAAGTAAATAAGAGGAAGGAATACACAGATATTTGCTTAATAATTGTATATCTCTCAAAACAAGGAAGAAATATTCATGACAATTACAGTCCTCATGTCTGTAACTACTCACATGGTTGTAACTGGTCTTTAAAACTACCTTCATTTACTACCCATTCTGAATTCCCTTTGCCTTCAGCAAGTACTGTAGCTCACTGTTTGTTTGTTTGTTTACCTGGTGGGGTGAAAAAAACCTTTATTCTTGAAGAATCTGGGTCATTTGTAGTCCTGCCTAGGTTGTGGTGGTGGTGTTTTCCATTGACCTTAACCACAGAGCATGGATAGTAACAGACACGCTAAGATATCTCCTGTATTCCAGACACACCCTTTCTTACTTCCATTGTGGAACAGTAGTATGATTTTCCAATGGTAGTTTAGATCAATTACCCTAGCCAACACCATAGTTCTCTTCTCGGCCTGTTGACTCAGAGGCATGAGGAACCCAAAGTGGCCAGGTGGCAGTCTTAACTTTAAGTTCAATGAACTCGTTATTGTTCGTCCTCGTGGAAACATTTCCCCCCCCCGGAATTAAGACCCTTAGAGCATAAAGCCTTGAGAACACAGAGTGTAAATTGTGTTATTGAGTCACTAGGGGTAATAGTGTGTTGCCACCCCCATTATCACCCCTTGATTCCTGGACTCATGAATCCTGGACATGGAAGAAACAGCACCATAAATTGGATGCTGATTCAGAGCATATACAGCCTTCTGCAGAACTTTGCCCCAGCCCTGAAATATGTTGCCAACTAGCTAGTGCTGTAACTGAAGCTCCAAAAGGCCATTCCACTGTACTATCAAACCAGCTGCTTCAGGATGGTGAAGAACATGGTAAGACATGAATTTCATTAGCATGAGATTACCATGCCTCTTTTGTGGTGAAGTGAGTTCCTTCATCAGAAACAATATGTGTGGAATATCACAATGGTTAGAAGGGCATTATATATGTTCACTGATGGTAGTTTTTGCAGAAACGTTGCATGCAGTGAAGGCAAGTCTATAACTAGAGTGTCTATTTCAGCAAGAACAAAACACTGTTGCTTTCATGATGGAAGTGGTCCAATGTAATCAGCCTGCCACCAGGTAGCTGGCTCATCACCCAAGGGACTGTTACCATATTAGGGCTCAGTGTTGGTTTCTGCTACTAGCAGTCTTGGCACTCAGTAGTGGCTGTAACCAGGTTGGCTTTGGTGAGTGGAAGTCCATTTTGCTGAGCCCATGCATTACCTTCATCCCTGCCACCAGGGCCATTTTTTTAATAAGCCAACTGGGTGATGACAGGGTTGTCTGGGGAAAGAGACCAACTGGTATCCATGGAATGGGTCATTCTGTCCATTTGATTATTGAAGTCCTCTTCTACTGAGCTCACCCTTGGTGAGCATTCACATGGGATACAACTTTCACATTTTTTGTTCACTTGGTGATATCTCTCTACCTAAACCTTCCCCAAATTTGTCACCAATATTTCAATCATGTTTTCCCAAATATCTGACCATTCAGCTAAACCATTGGCCACAATTCATACTTCAAAATATAATCACAAATCTGGCCATTTCTCCTTCCAAGAAAAGTATGAAGCCAGTGAACTGTTGAAAGTTTTGCCTACTTGGAAGATTCTCCTTTCCCAATGTCCTCAAGGATGTCCCAGAGAGGGACTCTAGTGCTGCAACTGTCCACATTTAGGTAGTGCCTGTGTATCGTGAGGACCATGAATACTACCATCTGTAAACCAGGCCTTAGTCTTATCTTCCTCTGTTAACTGATCATAGAGAGTTACCCATAAGGCCATAAGTGTAGGTTGGGAGAGAGAAGACAGTATGGCAGGAGCAAGAACCATGGGCATTAGAGACACTTCTTCATGTAACTTACTTCAACTTCAGGGTCTGCTTTGGGCTGAATGTGTATATATTATTTCCATCTAATAATGAAGTGTTGCTATGCAAGCTCAGATTTATGACTTGGTGGGTTAGATAACACCCAGTTTATGATGGGCAGCTTGGGTCGTATAGTAGTTTAGTGGACTATGGTCAAACATTTAGTTTCCACTAAGGCCCAGTAATAGGCCAAGAACTGTCTCTCAAAAAGAGAGCAGTTATCTGTAGATGATGGCAGGGCCTTGCTCTAATATCCTAAAGGATCATGCTGTGATTCATCTATAGGGGCAGGCCAAATGCTCCAATTGGTGTCTTTCTCTGCCTCTGACACTTCAGGCACCACTGAATTTGCTGAATCACATGGCTCAAGAGGCAGAGCACATTGCAGAGCAGCCTGAAGCTATTGCAGAGCCTTATTTTGTTCTTGGGCCCACTTATAATGAGCAGCTTTTCAGGTCACTTAGTAAAGAGTCCAAAGTAATACACCCAAATGAGAATATGTTGTCTCCAAAATCCAAAAGGCCCAGTAGGTACTGTGCCTCTTTCTTGATTGAGGGAAAAGCCCGATGGAACAACATATTTTTCACCTTGAAAGGGATGTCATGACATTCCTCACACCACTGGACCGTTAGAGGTTTTGCTGAGGTAGAAGGCCCCTGGATTTCAATTGAATTTATTTTCTACCCTCTGACATGCAACTATCTTACCAATAAGTCTAGAGTAGTTGTTACTTCTCTCTTACTGGGTTCAATCAGCATATCATTCATGCTACATCTTGTAGGAAAAAAGGATGATCAAGAACCCTGCAAAAGAAATTCTGACATAGACCTGGAGAATTTATAGATCCCTGAGGTAGGACAGTAAAGGTGTATTGTGGGTCTTGCCAGCTGAATGCAGACTGCTTGTAGTGTACCTTATGGACAGGGTAGGAAAATGGAATTTTCCAGATCAATAGCTGTATACAAGGTGCTAGAATATGTGATAATTTGTGCAAGCAATGAAACCACATCTAGTACAGCAGTTGCAATTGGAGTCACCACTTAATTAAGCTTGTAACAATCCACTGTCATTCTCCAAAATCCATCTGTTCTTTGTACAGGCAAAATAGGAAATTGAGCACGGATGTGGTGGGATCACCAACCCTGCATCTTTCAAATTCTGCACCAGTCTCTACAGTCCCCCCAGGAATGCATCACTGCTTCTGATTTACTATTTTCTTAGGTAGAGGAAGTTCTAATGGCTCCCACTTGGCCTTTGTCACTACAATAGCCCTTACTTTGCAGTTCAGGGAACCAATACAGGGTTTCTACCAGCTGCTAAATATGTCTATTCTAGTTATGCCTTAAAGACTGGGGAAATAACCACAGGATGCATTTGGGAACTCACTGGGCCCACGGTGAGATGGTCCTGATCAAAAATTGTATTGATCATATGACCTCTATAAGCTCCAGCTCTGGATGAAGGGTCATGGTGATGTTTTAGATGTTCCGGAGTCATGTCAGAGCCAGTGTCCAGTAGTCCTTAAAAGTTATGTTTACTTCCTTTACTCCAATTCCTAGTTACCCTGTTTAAAAGGCTGTAGGTACCTTTGGGGAAGGTTGGGAGAAATATTAACAGTTTAAAATAAGTTTTTGTTAGTGTACCAGCGTTCTTCCTTGAGAGAGAATAGCCTTGCTTTCACTCAAGGGGTTCTGGGTCTGTAAATGCCTTAGGGCTTAGAATTGACTGAGAGGCTTTGACTTTGTTTATATGATTTGAGTTAGACTTTTGTTCACTTGAACAAGAACTTTTCTGCTTACAGGTCAAGTAAAAATTGAGTGGGCTTCCTATCTATTTCACTTCGAGAAACACCAGGATTAACTAGCCAACACCATAGGTCTGCATGAGTCAGATTATTCTGATTGCTGCATTGAATCTGCTGTCCGGTAAGGAAACTATGCCCAACTTTCTTTTGCTGGTTGGGTGCCTCTGCTTGGCCCCTGTCACTCTGGGATCCAATTATGCCTATTGTATTTAGGTTTTCCAGTTGAGTGGCTGCAGTTCTTACTGTGAGGTCTCATACAGAGAAGAACATTCATGGACTACTTCAAGGATGCTAGGGCTCCTTTCACAAATTTATATCTCAAAATTTCAGTGAAAGCCATGTCTTCTGGAACCTCCTAGTGTGGGAGAGTAGGTCTTATATGACAAATCTACTCTAATTTTCCAATCTCTCTAAGCCTTAGTATCCCTTCCTCTACATTAAACCAAGAAAGGTTAAGTGTCTTTAATTCATTCACTGTGAGCCATATTTTGATCCATGTTTCAGCCAACTAACCAGCCAAACTGTTAGAGCCCTTTTTAACTCTCTGAGCTGTAATGCTAAATGAAAAATCTTTGTTTAGTGGGCCCATGTCAATAAACTTGGTTTGATCCAACTTTAGGCTCCTTCTACTATTATTATATACCCTTAATATTATCCCCATGCATGTTCCCTAGATTTCTGCTTGTATAAGTTAGAAAATTCAAGTTGTTATTTTGGATTATGGCATACCTCATTAGAGGTCATACATTGTACCTCACCTTTAGGGGCCTGCTAGGGTCTAGATATAGGTCTAGATGCAAAGATGGGTGTTGGGAGTGGGCCAGGAGTATAATCAGCATTGCCTTGCATGGAAACTGCTTTAGGGGAGGCCATTACCATTTTTTCAGTCAATGAAGGGTTAATCCCCTCAAATAAATGTGGAAAGACCAGTGTGGGTGGCCACTTCCTCTGGCAAAAAAAAAAAAAGACTATGTCCTTCTGTTTTCCTATTTTCTTCCTTAGATTATATCCTACTAGAAAGCACAACTATATCTGCCTCACTCACCCCTGAATTCCAGTAGGAATTGGCTTGCATGATTATGAAAGCCAGAAAGTTCCACAATTTGCTGCCTGTAATCTGGAGAACCAGAAAGGTTAATGGTGTTACTCACTCTGAGTCCCAAGGCCCAGGAAACAGAAGCAAGGATGTCTGAGGACAGAAGAAGATGAATATCTCACTTCAAGCAGAAAAAGAATGAATTAACCCTTCCTCTACCATTTTGTTCTATTCAGGCCCTCAATAGATGGCCTCTGCATTGTTGAGGGTGACTTTTTTACCCAGTCTACCAATTCAAATGCTCTTCTTTTCCAGAAACATCCTTATAGACACACCCATAAATAATGTATTACCAGCTTTCTGGGAAAATCTTAGTCCAGTCAAGTTCACACATAAAATTAACCATCACACAAACATATAAAGAATACCTTTGTAAAGAATAGAAGGCATTACTAAACTTACCACTTTGACACTTAGATTGAGAATATCTGTATATGCCTTTCTGTGTACTCAGAAGTAACTATTATAGTGATCTTGGCATTTTCATTACCTTCTATTGTTTCCTTACAGATGTCTAAGGAAATAAATTATTGTTTTGGCATATTTTTAAAATGATATGATAATGAATGTTATACATTCATTAAATTGCATTTTTCTGTATTCATATGCAACTTGCCTTTTGCAGTCAACATTATGTTAGGAAATAAAATCATGTTGATATATATGTCTATTCTGGATGCTGTGGTACGCTGTTCAGATTTCCTTTTCAGGATCCTCAGAACGGAGCTACTCATTCCTTCAGCAGCTGGCTGTTTTGGCTGCTGATCACTCTCTGCTGAGACCCTTTCCAGGCCTTTCCTTCCAGATTCCCTTAGCTAAAGGGATCTGCCTTGTTCCACGTTACACCTCCCCAGTAGCAACTGTCCAATGACTGGTGGGTGAAATTACAAATATATAACCCCCTTTCCTGATTTTGGATGACTTTGAAAAGTTATCCCTATTTCAGAGCTCCACGTAGGATGAGCTGAGCTCTTTGCTCTGACTGCATCGCCGTAAACATCTCCTGCCCAGTCCTACCTCCTTTATTCCTTCATAGGTGTTGTTCCCAAAAGCAATCACTCATAAATTTTCTTGGTACAATGTCCGAGTCAGAGACTGTTTTCTGGGAACTTGGCCTCAGACAATGCTTTCTACATAAGTTGTTTTTACTGCTGAATAGCATTCTATTGTATAACCATATTACAATTTATTTATCCATTCAACTATTGATGGGAATCAAGATTGCTTTTAAGATATTTAATACTTATAGATCTTTCTGTGTGCATATTTGAGCAGAATTAGTTAAGAGTAACCCTACAAACGTATTTGTTGAGTTATAACTTTTCTATCCTAACTTTGAAAGGAACTATGAGGAAACTCCAAAATTATAAAATTTGCATTACTCTGAATCTTCATATCAAAAACTTCCGTTTTCCAAAGTAGCTCTTGATATTTTGGGCACTGACTTCTATCAGAGGATATTCTTTCCTGTCAAACTTGCCTTAGCATTGCTTCTCAATGCTCTTAAAAAATCTTTGATGTCTACTCAAGGACAAGGGCCCTGTTCCTCCTGGATCCAATAGGATTCCTATTCTTTTACTACAGTTGTGTGATCTGAAGTTATTATAGTTTCCCAGTGTCCAACATGTAAGAATTCCTGTTTCTTAACTTTCAACTGTTCAGAGCTTTTTCATTTTACACACAAGTTCTAACATAATTGAATTCTGCCTTTAAGATAAAAATAGATTGTGTTTATCTAAATACTATCTATGTTAACATAACTTTTGGGGATCTAATTCATATGCTCCTATTCCTCCTGTGTTTTGACATCTGTAATATCCTGTTCGGGGGATCATAACACCTCAAGCAATAACATTGCTGTTTAGATTATCTGATTCATGTAACAAGCTGGGCTTCAACTTAGGTATGCTTATCTTTGAGTTATTCATATTCTAATGTTTACAATACAGTTTATTAAAAACAATTTGAACTCCATAGTAGTCAGGTTATCCTTGAAAGAAAAACATATGTTAATTGATCATTTAAGAATTTACTGCCTAAAACAGAGCCTTCTGTCTCAGAGCTGACATTATTACTGACATTTTTTTCTTTATTAACAGTTAATTTTGTCTCCAGCATTCTTGTACGAATGGGTAATTCCTACAAATAAAGTAGGAATTTATAGAGTTTGAAAAAATGTTTATTGTACATTTACATTTCTATGTATTTATGCTAGCTTTCGAATAAGACTTTAACTTTGCTTGTAATTTTGTGTGAAATTTAAATCAATGTAAATGTGAATTAAACAAGCCATTTCCTTTATATATGACTTCACTGAGACCCAGAGTGTAGAAACCTCTTTTCCTGTTTCACTAGGGATGTAGTAGATGTAGGAATAGGACTCAATTCCACTTTCTTGTGTCCCATAGTAACTCTTCTGACTTTCTCTTCCACTTAAATATAACAAGAAATCCTGTGATCCCTAGAATGAAATCATTTTACTTCATAATATGGAGGCCAAGACTATCCAGTTTTTGCTCTTGTTGGGTTCCTTCCTTGCCTGGGATGTCTCTGCTCTGTATTTGTGACTGTCTCACATGAGATGGAAGCTCTTGCATACAGAAATAGCTTTTTGTACTATATGGATAAAGAGCAAAATGTAAAAAAAACTCTGCAGTTTTCATTAACTTATATTACGGAAACACTTATATAACATTTTGTTAAATATGCTTTTTCTAAGGAGAAATAATCAGACATATCGATTATGGAATAAGAAAAACAAAAATAAAAAAGCTTTCAACAACTCATGATCAGGAAATAGGACATACAGAATACACTTCATTTTTCTGACTCCAGGGAAAGCTCTTACTGTGACATCAACCTCTAAATATTTTGATTGAGCTGTCAGTGTAGAGTGTTGTAGTAAAGTTAACATTTCAGAAACAGATAATCTAGAGTCTTTATGCCAATTTTACCATGGATGAGCTACGTGATCTTAGACAAGTCACCTTAGCTCTCTAATTATTAGGTTCTTTTACTGGAAAACAGGGAAACATACCATTTACTTTAAAATGCCTGGTTAGGATTAATGACAATATATAAAAATAAGTTAGCCCAATGCCTGGCTCATAAAAATGCATTGATAAATGAGAAATATACCTAAAATGAATTATGTGAATATAATTATTTTAATTATTTCTATGCATATTATAATTCTTGAAACTCAAGTACAAGCAAATATTCTCTCTTCATTTTTTTTTTTTAGATAGAGTCTCGCTCATGTCACCCAGGCTGGAGTGCAGTGGCGCAATCTTGGATGACTGCAACTCCTCTCTTGGGTTCAAGTGATTCTCCTGCCTCAGCCTCCCAAGTAGCTGGGATTACAAGTGTGCACCACCATGCCCGGTAATTTTTTTGTATTTTTAGTAGAGATGAGGTTTCACCATGTTGGTCAGGCTGGTCTTGAACTCCTGACCTCAGGTGATCCACTCACCTCGGTCTCCCAAAGTGCTGGGATTACAGGCGTGAGCCACCATGCCCAGCCTAATATTCTCTACTCTTAAAACCTGTAGTGCAAGGGGCCATTTCTCACCTTGAGAAAAGGGATTCAATGGACTGAAAGAGAGACATATCCCATGTAAGCAAGAAATAATGAATGTGCAGTCCCCCTGGGAACACTGAAGGGAAGCACTCACATGGTATTGTCAACAGAAGCCAGTGTTTGACTAGGGAGAGTTCAGAAGCAGTATCCAACTTCCTCTCAGGGTGACTCCTACCTTTCCTGAATCAAAGCAGCAACCTGACCTGCTAGGACCACCAACACTTCTCCTGTAATCACACTGATGCCCACAGGGCTCCACAGAAACATCTTCCACACATTCCTCCCTGCTTCAGTGTCTATATAAATACCTGGATCCTCTCACTGGCCACACTTAAGAGTCTTTGTACATGGATGCTTTTCCTGTTTTTCCTCTTTTTTCACTTCATTGCCTTTGCCTCACCTTTCCCCGCCTTCACAATTGCACCTAGGGTATACATACTATGTAGAGACATAGCAGGAAATCAGGAAACCCCGAAGTGAACATAAACTCAGCCAAGAAAATCACTAGGGACTGACAGCAGTGACAAGGCAGAATTTGCTCACATTCAGGAATGATATATTCATTTCCCACCTTGCCTGCCCCTGCTGTGATTTTTCTGGGGCACAATTCACAGCCCTGAGAAGGGAGATGCTGTTTTCAACTTACAGGAACCCACGGACTGCTCTCTTCCACAGACTCCTTGGCTGTCTCCTGGCCCTCAGTTTGGAGCAGATGGAGAGCCTGGGGTATTTCTGCATATTTGCTATGTGAGGTCCTCACCTACTGAGAGCTTCTCTCCCATCCCCACCATTTCCTCCCACTCTTTAGAAACAAGACAACTGCCTTAAGACCCAATCATTTTGTTTTCAGAAAATTTTGCCGCTTCACACACTACTGCCTAATTAATGTTTCCGTAAAGGGCACTGAACTTGGTTTAGGGTATCTGGGATGGAACTAGGCTGTCGCTCACTTGCTCCATAATGTTGGGAAAGTTATTCAGCCTCTCTGATCCTCCATCTTCTGACTGTTGAAACACAGATAAGCTCTCACCCAAATGGTAGTTGGGAGGGGTATGAATGATGTATATGAAGATGCCTTATATATAAGAATTGCTTCCTGAAAATTAGCCAAAGTTAATATCATGTCATTCTTCTGCTCAAGAGCCAATAGTGGCTCCTTATTCCTTAAAGGTATGGGCCCAAATTCATTTGCCTTCTGTCTTCTTACACAGGTATCTGCAACCCCAGATTGTTCTTATGTGGCTGTGGCTCTGTTTCCCCTTTCATGTTTCTCAAGTGTATATAAATAATATACATATTACTTTCCATTGGCTGATCACCTTTTTCTGTCTTGCATGCACAATGAGCTCCCTTTCCCCTCATTACGTTGACTGAGATTCTCCCTACAGGTCTCACCTTCCCATATGTTTATTGATAAAAAATGTTACACAGCCACAGAATCTGATCACTTCCGTAGGTGGATGTTTTGCAGATTTAATCACCAACTTTGCATTTACTCATCTACTCGTTCAGTAAATAACCCCAAGAACGCTGTGCCAGACACACTGTTTGGAATTCAGGGATGAATAAGGCAGATAGAGTTGTGCTCTCAAGTAGTACATAATCAGAGGAAGAAAATAGAAAAAATGGACATAGAGAAAATTGCTTACCTTGACAGCAAGCACTGGCTTCTCTCTTGATGAGAGACTGATTTGTTGAGTCATTTAAGTTAAAACCTATGTGTAGAAGGCAATGCTCTGAGTATCTGATGCTAAATGTTGGTAACCTAAATTTATAAAGGAAACAGATTTGAGTTTCCAGGGCAGCCTTGAAGGGAGAGGATGAGGAGCAGACATGGTACAGAGATGCAGACACCCTTTTCTGTACATGCAGTCCCCTTCCTCTGATTTCTCCCAAAATATGTAGGGAAGTATATTTTACTGTAAAATGTGGGTAGTGAATGCTATTACCTTGGATGCTTATGCTGCTGGTCTGAGGACCATACTTTGAGAAGCACTATTTTCTGAAGGAGCACAAGACTGTTTCTAAAAGGGTGAGCCATAATAAGACTTGGGAAGACCATCAAGATAGGAGACAGAGCTGGCTTCAGCAAATTTGTGAAATTAGCTGAGTTTTTTTTTTGGTTCCCTAAGGTTTCTATAATCATTATTGCACTAATAATTGTTCAGTACCCTATATTTGTTCGCTGAAGTTCCAGAAGTAGCATAGGACCAAAATTTATGATTTCAACATGGCATCTTCCAAAGTTTCCATGGCCCCTGTGATTTGCTTTTCACCATTGGCAAGTGCAAAATATCTCATAATTATGTTCCCATCCAGTCTTTAAGATTTGATCCAAATTTCCATGACACCTCTCTAAGGATTATTTGTGTTTAACACAAATACATCTGAGATATTGAGATAGAGATTGGAGAGAGATATTTCAAGGAATGGGATCTAGGTGGCAAAGGATTCAGGCCATACAGACAACCACTTACTAACAACTTCTGTCCACTGAGACTCACGCATGTTATTACTCAGCACGAGGTCCACCTGTTAGTGAAATATACTTTTCTTTTATGACAAGCCATACCTGATATGCTTGCATACACACAGACTCATACCACATACACTCACACAAATTAACACACACATAGTCACGCACATTCATACTCCGCAAGAAACAAAGCCAAAAATTAATCCTGCTTCTTCTTTTGGTTGATTCTGCCCGATTTGTGCCAGGGGAGATCAGGTCTAAATATATATAAACACCAGAGCTTCTCAGTTCAATTAAATGTCCCTTGCACACCTTAATTTGAGAGGAAATTACTGTAAATATTTTATTTAAAATTTAATAATTTTATTTTGTTTTATTTTTATTAATATTTTGTTAAATAAAAACATATTTGTTAGATCTTGGATTGTAAGCATGTTAAAGCTAGAAAGTTAGCAATATTTAATAAAGTAATTGTAGGTTAAGAAACTATTGTCCAGTAAATAACTGTTTTAATTAAAACAGTTAAAAGATGTAAAAGATAACTTTTTAAGTAGGAATACAAAAAGGGTTTATTAAAAATTTTACTGGACCAAATGGATGTTTCAAGTTTTAGGAGACAGAAATACAGAAACCCTAAGTATATTTCATTTTATATGCCAAAAGTTTATTTTAAATAGCAGCAAATAGTGAAGTTGGGGAAAAGTCTGCTATGACTGGATTATCGCTAACATCCTTGGTGTAGCACTAACTTGGGTGTCAGTGCACACAAGGCTGGTGTCTGTACTTTTTCACTACCTTCTTCTACAATATCACCCTCAGCTTTAGCTGGGGATTAATATGTTTTTATATCTATCCTCATTGCTGCCACCCTAGGTAAAGCCATCATCCACTTCCGTTGGCACTAGTCTCATTTCCTTCTAGCTGGTGTCCTGTAGCTATTCTTGCACCCTGTAGCTCATTCTCCTCACTGGATTTAGAGTAACTGTTTCCAAACCCAAATACAACTGTAGGAGAATGAGCTCTTTAAAAAAACAAACAAACAAACAAACAACACTCAATGACTTCCCATAATTCCTTAGGACAAAAGTCTATATCTTTAATAAGCAATAACCTCTCCAATATTCAATATTGTTTTATCCCTGTCTCCTTTTGTATTTTGAAATTGCACAAAACCCTTGGGGATCCAAAAACTGGTCTTTTTTTCAGTGTCTAAGAGACCTTGTTCCAGCCTCCTGTGCAATGCTTGACCTTTGTAAACACCTCACCTGTGCCATGAATGCTTTTCACATATCATCCCCATCTACCCCTTTATCTATTATTTCCTCTTTATTCTTTAGATCTTTGTTCAGTCATTCCTTCCCAGGAGAAGCTTTCTCTGAGTCTCTTACCCAGGTCATATCCCCAATGGCACACTCTCAGAACACATGTAAAATACTGAATACAACTTTAATTTGACATCTTTATCCTCTGTTAGACTGTAGTCACTATCAATGCAAGCACATGTCTGTCCTCACCATTGAATCCCATTTGCTTCAAGGACGGGACACAGAAGGAATTGAATAAAGTCATGGAAAATGAAACTCAGGTTGGTCTTCTCACTGGCTTCTTAAAGGAATGAGCACATTGTGATCCTGCTCTGTATCGTGGAGAAAGACCCAAGGAAAGTTCCCATTTCCAGTTAAGCTCAGCCTAACCTCTCTTAATAGCTATTCCTAGTTCTGCCATTCATTAACTCAACTTATACTTTCCATAAACATGTGTAACAAGTATCTGTACTCCTGTTCTATGTGTAGGAGACTTCCCACCTCATAAGTATTGAAAGAAGGCAGAATTTACTTCCCAGTATGAAGTGAAGATGCTAGCTACTCCCTTTTCCAACTTCTCCTATAGCTAGGATGCAGGGATGTGATCTAGACTCTGCAAAACAAGTGCACTCATGTCTACTTTGATTTCAAAGCTAGTGAGGCAAAAAAAGGTAAAACACAAGAGGTGGTGGAGCTCATGTTGGTGAAGATGGCGGCAGGAAAAAAAAAAGCATATCCGAGATCCAGAAGCAGTAGTGGTAACAGTTCACTCACTCTTAGGTACCTGGGTACAGTGGTAACATCATGGGACATGTGGCATGACTTTGGCTATTTTTTTTTCTGTGTGGTGTGCAAGCATGGCTTTTCAGTTCTCTACGAAATGCATTGAACTACTCAATGTCTTAGTAAATTCACTTTCTGCTCAAATTAGGCAGAGTCAGTGTCTTGTAATTTCAGCAGAAAAATCTAACTCACTAGCCTCATACATATAGTCTGAAAAGAAAGATATGCAAGTAAATAGTCAATTACTATGTAATGTTACTCAAGGGTTTATTAAAACCTATTTACAAATGGTCCATATGTCTTGCCTATACCAGGTCCTAGGACATTCTAGATTCCCTACTTGCTTGCCAACAATATTTATGGGAAGCAGTAGTTCCCTGAAAAAGCACTCTCAACATGAAATAAGATTTCCTTTTATTTGCAACGCCTTGCCTCAGAAGGCACCTGCTGTTTCCTAGAGGTGAGAATTCAGTGGAAAAACATATATGTAGTCATATTGTTTGTCATAAAACCTCTGTGCTACAAGGGACTCTAAAAATCACCCCAACTAAACCCAGTTTTGAATTTCCTTTCCTTTTCTGCAATGCCCAAGTAGCCATTGCGCTTTGGCTTTGAATATCTATAGTGACAAGGAACTTGCAATACCACATCAAGGAAACTCTTTCATCGTTGAACAGTCCTAGATTTGAAAAGTTAGTTCTCAAATTAGCTCAAAATACATTTCTATCCACTTTGTTGATACAGAATAAATCTATTCCCTTTTCCTCAGTTTGCAATTTATATCATTTGTCATGTTATTTTCCTACATCTTCCTTTTCAGTCCATGTTAAAATAACAGTACAATGTAGAGCTTTGTTTGCTCCCAGTTAGGATGTAGAAAGTTATCAAAAGCCATCACTCCTTCTTTAACAATACAAAAGCCTGAATAAACGAAAACAAAATAACACCTTCTTTTAAAGCCATTAAAGAATCTCAGACACAAGGAACTTAAATAAACTAAATTTCAAAGAGGATCAGTCTATTCCTAGGTGAGCAAGGTCCATTGGCTGCTTTTGTGCTTGGAATTAGTTGCCTATTCTTTTTATGGGTAAGTGGGAGAGCAAACCTACAATATGTGAAGAGAGTTTTCCGGTACAAGGAGAAATCAGGAAATTTTTAATGACATTATGGGTTGTTAAGTACTATAACAGTGCAGACCCTTAAACATAAAATTATCGCTCCTCATGATTTTTATATCTTGTAGTGCTTCGATCTCAAAGGCCTGCTATAGAGAAGAATGGAACTCATCCTCAAAACATTCAAAAGTGAAGTTGAATTGAAACTAAATAAAGCTTCAGGTTGCCCTCTTCAGATTAGCAACTGATTAAAATTAAGTGATTAGCCCTTCCCCATAGCTGCCTGACATAGGAAAAAGCATGAGGTCTCTGGAAAAACAACATGTATATTGTCTACTTCAGTCTCTAATGTTTTATAACAGTATCTGCCATACAATAAAAAATAATATAGGATAAACAACAAAGCATAGAAATACAACCCATAATCAAGAGGCAAATTTCCCAATAAAGAAAAGAAAAATCAATAGAAACACTCAAAAACAACCTATGTATTAAAGTTACAGGCAAGGACCTTAAATGTATCACATATCTGTTAAAGAGTCTGAAGTGAAAAATAGACATGTGGGAGCATATGGGAAATTTTGATGAAAAAATGAAAATTCTCGGCAGGAAACATATAGACATTCCTGAATTTGAGTTATAAAAAACCCCAACATCTAAAATTAAAAATTCATTAGAAAAGATTAGCAGCAGAATGACACACAAGAGGAAAGATGGTTGAACTCCAGGATAGGTCAATCAAAATTATCTAAACTAAAAATCAAAGACAAAAATAAAATAAAATAAATTAAAAACAGACCATTAGATACCTGCAGGACAAAATTAAATGATTTAACTCCATAAATTAGAGTTGCACATGGAGATACATTGAAGATATAACGAAAAAAAGCATTCCAAAGTAAAGAATGACATCAGCCCACAGATCTAAGTACTCAGTAAGCCCCAAGCTAGAGAAATACAAAGAAGGTTACACCAAGGTAAATCAAAAATTTTTTTAAAAAATTGTAAAAGTGGCCATAGAAACAGAAATATATTACATTTCGGGGAACAAAAATAAAAATGCCATTTGATACTTTATTGGGAACAAAAGACAACAGGATTATTTCTTTAAGGTGATTTTAAAAACTTGACAATCTAGAATTCTATATACTGTTGAGAGAAAACAAAGCTGAAATAAAAATAACTTGATATAAATAACAGCTTAAAGAATTAGATGCCAGGAGACCCATATGACAAGAAATGCAAAAGGATATTCTTTAGGTAGAATAAAATCTGGGTAGATGAAAGCCAAACCTTTATGAAGTAATAAAAGGACCACAGTGGCAAATATGTAGTAAAACATCATTTTAAAAATTTATACTGACAGAGTGAGTGGCTACTTAAAGCCAAATGAAACTTCAAAGTATTACAGAGTTCACAACACATAAAGAAATACAAGGATTCTGCTTTCTCCATATGCTCACCAACATTTGTTATTATTTGTTTTTGATAGCAGTGATCCTGACAGATATAAAATGCTATCTCATGGTGGCTTTGAGTTGCATTTCCCTGATGTTTGTACATTGTTGGTGGGAATGCAAAAATCATGCAGCCTATATTTAAAATAGTATGGAGGTTCCTAAAAAATTAAAAAATAGAACCAACATATGATCCAACGTTCGCAATTCTGGGTATTTATCCAAAAGAACTGAAATTAGGAAACTGAAAAATTATGGAAGTTTTAGTAAGGTATAATTGACATCCAGAGATCTGCACATATTGAATATATACAATTTGACAAGTTTAGACATCTACAAACACCTGTGATACCATCACCAAAATCAAAGTAAAAGACATATCCAAGATAACCAAGTTTATGCTGTTTAAATGAAACACATTTGGAGCCTTATTTATCTCTTGCCTTGATGGTTTCACCTGTGTCCTACCATGTCTCAGTAGAACTCCTACACTCCTGTTGCTGCCAGATTACTTAATTTAGTCAATTCTTTCTCTTATTATTTACTTACAAATGCAAAAGGTATTGACCATCTACTATGTGCCAAGTACTGTGCTGGTCATGGGTTATACAAAGTGAAAACAAAAACAGAAGTCCATACGTTCAAGGAACTTAGAATCTGCTTAAAGGAAAGCCCCAAGACTCATTAGGCAGTGTGGTGGGAGGCTAAGAACCTGAACTCTGACATCGAAAAAATCTTAGTTCCACACACAGCCTATTATTAGCCGTGTGATGTGCCCAACTTATTTGCACCTCTATAAGCGTCAGCTTGCTCATTGTAAAGTTATTTACTTCATGTGAGGATAAATGAGATATTTAGTACAGTGTGATCTTGTAGGAAATACTTAATAAATATTAGCCATTGTTGTTAAGTCAAATAATAGAAGAGTATTCTGGGTATTGTGAAAGTACAGTGGCGGGGAAGATGGTAAGCAAGGAGAGTCAGTATTCAGCGCTTGGCAAAAGTCAGTTTCCACACTGCCGTTTTAATCTTGTCTTCTTTTTTATTTGAATTTTCTATTCCAGTCAGGTTGCTCAGCACACAACTTGTGCACTCTCCATAAGATATTTATTAAAACCTAGTTTCCTTGTCTGGAAGGTGAGGAAGGTGATAAAAATGTCTCTCTCAAAAGGTTGTCACAAGGATAAAGTGAGAGGATATAAAAGTTAAATTAAAAAACTATACAACTCTTTATTATCATTTCTTCTACTATGATCACTTTGCTCAAATGATCGGTTTTAACTGGAAATGACTATCTATTCTTGATTATTGAAATTCTAACAATTACTAAAATAAACAAACCAACCAACCCAAGCAACCAACCAAACAAACAAAAATAAGACAAAACTCCATTTTGTGTTTTCTAACATGGTTCGATTCAAGTTCTTCTACCCTTAAGAAACCCTTGTCCACCTCATCTCCTTTTTATTAGGTAAAAAATTTAAACCATTTTATTACATTGACAATATAATAATTTATGTGTGTATGTTTCATACCCCTTCTATAACAATTAAATTCACGGGCTGTAATGAAAGACTGGGTTCAAACCTCAAAGCTTTCTCTTAAAAGCCAGTTGATTTGAGCAAATTATTTCAGCTGTATTTGTCTCAGCTTTCTCATAAGGAAAACAAGCATACTAACAGTGCCTATTCCATAGGTATAATACAAAGACTAAATGAGTTAAAACAAATGGATTGTCTAGAACAATACCTCGCATATAGTTCACCCAATAAGTAATAAGCCACCCATATTATTATTGAAAAAAAAGACTGCCTTTTTCCTATAAAATGCCAACTGCTAGTCAGTTTCAAAATTATAACCCGTAAGATAATGGTTTCTACAGCCCAAACAATTCTCCAGCCTCTTATAACTTATTTCCTCCCCTGTTAATCCAGCAACAGTTCTTTAAGTTCTGGGAATTTCACTGTATCCTCCTAGATAATTCCCCTCCCCCACCACTTGGTCTAATGTGGATCATCTGAGACATGGTAGGATCCCGATGAAGCCATCCAGGCAGGAGATAGATAGAGCTCCAAGTGTGCTTTATTTAAGCAGCATAAACTTGGTTATGCTAGATATGTCTGTTCTCTTGATTTTAATGCTGGTATCACAGGTGTTTGCATATGTCTAAACTCATCAAATTGTATACATTAAATATGTGCCGTTCTTTTTATATCAATTATATCTCACTAAAACTCTCACGATTTTTCAGTTTCTTAATTTCAGTTCTTTTGGGTAAATATCCAGAAGTCTTATTTCTAGATCATTGTTGGTAGTGATTTTTGAAGGAAGCAAAAATAAATAAATAATAAATGGGGTTTTGATTAGTTCCTATCCTCAGTAAAATTATTCCACTTTGGACAAATACATCTAGCAGCCAATTGAAAAAATAATACTATTCTGTAATACTTTAAATAGCTATCATGATATTGCTTTTGTATCCCCATGGAAACCTTCAAAGATCTTTCAAATACCCGCCAAAAGAAATGAAGTGTAAATTTTAAGCTAACTTTCCACCTTTAGACTTTATAATCGCTACAGATTCCTCAATCCTGCTAAGAGTTAGTATCTACCTTGGCTTCTTCCTGGGAGTCAGAAGGGGCTGTGCTCCAGTCAGTGAACATTAGCGGGAATTACCTCAATTTCCACCGCCGCTGGACCTCACCAAGATGCTGTCTGTCAGGCCAGTAAACATTCCTGGCACCTTCTTCTGGCCCTAAGACTCCCCAGAGGAAAGCAAAACAAAACAGTCTTTCCCTCCTATCCTGTCTCTTATTCTACAGAACCAGTACCTTCATTGGTTAAGTTCCTACAGACTTTGACTAAGAAAAGTAATTTTCTTTAATGACCTTCAGCCCTTTCTCTCAGTCTGGGAGGCAATTTTGATGGGGTTACTCTGGTAGAGTAATTAAGCCAGATTTTCATCTGTCACTAAAATGTTGCCTTGGTATTTGGACTGATGTGTTTGGAATGGGTTTGGTTTCAAGCTGTGAACTTAAAATGCCCACAGGTTGCACTACCCAATTCTCTAAAAATAAATGTACCCTATATTAGTCCCACAACATTTTCCATTGTGTTAAAGTTCCCAGAGTTACCTTTGGTAGGTGTTGCAATCGTCACTCAAAAGGGTTTTGAAGCTTCTAACGTTAAAAAAGACAGAGACTCAATGGCAAAGTCTTTTTTAATTGGCCTCCCTCTTCCCCATCACTTCCAAAGAAAAGTAATAGTGCTGAAAGGATTTTTACATCAATAGAAAATTCTTCAAAGATTTCATACTGATTACACTTTACTCCTACCTAATTTTGAGGGGTAAGGTAGCTTATTTGTCTCCTGCAAACCAGCATATTATAACAAGAAGCAATTTTTCACTTTAAAAAGTAGTCATGGTGGCAGTAGTGGTGGAGAAGGAAGAGGAGAGCGAAGGAGAAACAGATATCGCTTTAAATATCTCCTGTTTAGATTTATTATTTTTTCCTGGGATAGTAAGAAAATTATTTTTGAGATTTCTGGGCATAATTGAATGAGTTAAGCCTTGAAGATGCCAAAGAAAATAGTTCTTATGGTATCTCATCTCTTTGTTTTCATATTGATTTGTTCATTCCTTAATTTAGTCACAAAATATTTTAAGTGCTAACTCTGACCCAAACTCTGTATAGGACCCTAGGAAAGAGTAGTAAATGATTTACCTGTCTTTCTCGTTCATGGTTTACCATTTAATTATATATATATAAACAAAACATTAACAAAATGATTACTTGTGATCTACATTAAAAAGGAAATAAACAAGATGCTATAAGAGAATATTGAGAAGCTTGGGTAGGAATATGGCAAATACCATCCAGTAGGAATGTTGGTTCATATCCCTTACTTGTACATCTCTGAAATAAACCATCCCTTCATGAAATTAGGAAATAAGTGTTGTTCCCTGTGAAGAGGTAGTAACTTAGCAGAATAGAATGTGTAGAGGAATGGCCAATAAAAGAGATGCAGAGCAGAAAACTTCCTGGCCTTCCTATATTCTTGAATGTAGTTAATAATGTCCCTGATCATGCTGATTCACTGGCAAGGTTTGGAGATTCACATTTTAAAATACCATATATATCTAGTTGTTGAACTGATTGCAGCTTCTAGTGCCTGAGAGACTTTCTGCTCTTCTCTTGCATCAAGAGGATAGGTAAAATGAGAATTTATCTCATGCCTTTCTTATGAAAGCCCATTTGAAGTAAAAGTTGTACATCAACTCTCAGATCAAAATGGCTACTTCTGCTTCTGAGTAATTTAAATAACCTGTCAAAATTGAGATTTCCCAAGTCCATTTTGTGTTCAGAATTTGCAGGTAAGCTCCTCAATATCCTGGCCTCTTATCTCAGTAAAAATATGCCCAGAATTTCTAGTACTTTCTTTCTTCATTAACCCCACAACTTTAATTACAACCAATTACCTAGCATTCCCTTCCTACTCGCAGTCATGGCTCTGTATGGTGTGGCAAAACGCTGTTCAAAATATATAGTTCTATTAAGCACCTGACATGTGCCAAGAATTGTGTTTTTTGTATGGAACGGATAGAGACAAACTAGAACCAGTTCCTATTCTTAAAAAATTCAAATGCGAGTGGGAATATAGACTCTCTAAAATATATTCTTAATGTTGTGTCGTATATTTACTATTTTTTTCTATTTGATTGTAAATTCTGTGTCCCTGAATTGTCATTCCTAATAGTACTGAACCCAGGAACCCTGTGCTCAATAATCGCATGTGTGGCCTATCCTCCTGTGAATTATGCTCTTCCCAGACACATGGAAGTACACCTTTCAGAGGCTGATGGTTATCATTCTTTCCTAAAGAATTGATTGTGCAACTGACATTCACTGAGGGCTTGATTCTCCTCGCCTCAGAGCTATAACCCAGTTACTTGTTGGATTCATTCCAATTCTCTTCCCTCATCCATTTTCCACTCTAGATTTTTATTTACCAATGCAGATAAAGGTTATGCTTTACAGAGCTCTTCTAGCTTTACAGTTAACTTCTCAAATCCATTTTCCTGTCACTGTTTGTTAATTCACCAACGTATTCCTTTTAAAAAGTAGAATAAAAAAATATGTTTATTTTCATCTTATTTTACAAGAATCTTTGTAGATTGCCCTTTGAGACTTGATTCATGGATCCAAGATCACCTGAGACGCAAAACTTTCCTGGACTTTCTGCTAATAATTCTTTGTGGCCTTTATATTATTTTATAGCGACTCTATGTCTGTGGTGGGACATATTAAAATAAACCAGGACATATTAAAATAAAAACAAAGTTGGATGAAGGCGCATAAACACATACAGCTGGAAGCATCCTCAGGGACTATTCCCCAAATCACTCATTTTATGGAGAAAAAACCCCTGAAACTCAGAGATTTAAGACATTGACTACAGCTACACAAAAACTCAGGGAAAAGTTTGACCAGATCTGCCTTCCCCTACTGTGAATCTCTAATTTGCTTTATACATCACCATATCAGGATTTAAATTTCCTTTGTGCCGTTTATGAGGTATTGTGTATAGAAGAATTGGGAAGAAGAAGAGGCGATGTTTAGTTTTGATTCTGTGGTTAAAATAGAAGAATCCAAGGAGGATCTGCGAAGTGTTTGAAGAATGAGATTCTGGATTTGTATGTTAAAAATAGAAACCATGGGCCAGGCTCAGTGGCTCACGCCTGTAATCCCAGCACTTTGGAAGGCCGAGGCGGGCGGATCACGAGATTAGAAGATCGAGACCATCCTGGCTAACATGGTGAAACCCCGTCTCTACTAAAAATACAAAAAGTTAGCCGGGCGTGGTTGCGGGTGCCTGTAGTCCCAGCTACTCTGGAGGCTGAGGCGGGAGAATGGCGTGAACCCAGGAGGCGGAGCTTGCAGTGAGCCGAGATCGTGCCACTGCCCTCCAGCCTGGGCGATAGAGCGAGACTCCGTCTCAAAAAAAGAAAAAAAAAAAAAAAAAAAGAAAGAAACCATGATGAAAATAACAACAGTAAATATTGTTTATCAAGACCTTATTTAAGCCAGTCATAGAGCTAAGTATTTAACACATATTACTTGACTTTCACAAAGCCCTATGTGGTAGGAATCTTTATTAGTCTCATTTCACTGAAGAGGAAACCAACACTGACAGAAAACGTGCCAAGAATTTCTCATCAAGCAAGTGGCACGACCTTGAACATGTTCTGAGTCTGAGCACCTGGTTGCTCAATGAGAGGAAGGGGAGAAAGAGAGCATGCGCATGGGCTTTCTGTTTTCAGCCATACAGAATCTAAATGGGTAATGAAATTTGACATCTTCCCAGTTAATCCTTGGTTATTCTGATGTGTCTCATTAACGGGAGATTTGCTGCAGAATGTCCCATTCTGTTAAAAAAAAATACAATAGTTTGACTCTCTTCTCCTTAGATCTCAGAATTAAAGAATATTTTAGAGTCATATAATTAGACAATCAGCCTCTATACAGCCCCTACTTAACTGTCTCTCAGATGTGGGTGTGTTTTCAAGTCTCAAAAGAAAGAATCTATTTTTTTTTTTTTGTCTAGACTTAAGCAAATATCCCCATTTAACTAAGGAAAAACTTAAAACATTAAATTACTTAGTAACATCTTTAACAGGTTCAGCATACATTCAGAAGGTAGAAAAATATATATTTCCTTCAAATGTTTACCATAATTGTGAATTGTTTGTATAATATTGATATATTCTCTTAATTTCTAAGATGGTAGAGGTGGTGTTTGTACTGGGTAAATGTCCAGCATTCTCTTCTGTTACATAAATACCTAAGTACTTTTCCATATGTCAAGCTCTGTGTTCCAAACAACTTTTAAAAATGCTTGCATTGCTAAAAATGAAAACAGGAATGAGGGCTACAGGTTACTAAAGCCATTTGAAGCAAAGACACAAGTATAGGCTATAGTTTCCATCTAGGAACTTGAAATACCATTGGTGATGAGTACAAACTCTGATATCTGATATCAAATGTATCTCATTCTGAATCCCAGTCAATAATTCCATTAAATTGAAATGATCTGAACATTCCAATCAAAGGAAAGAGATTATAGAACTTCATAAATAGTATTTCCCAACCATCCATTGTCTATAAAAATGGAGTTTAAAGATAAAGCCATAGAAAAAAAGTAAAAGGATGGAATGAAGATGTATAACATGCAATTTTTAATTATAAGAAAACTGGACTGGCTATATTAGTATCAGACAAAGTAGACTTTAGAAAAAGAAATGTTACTGGAGATAAAGAGGAATAATCTCATAATTATGAAAGGGTTAATTCATTAAGAAGATATAATTTTTCTAAATAGTATGCACCAAATAGAGCTTCAAAATACATAAACACTTGTATTTACCAAAAGTCTTATGCAAAAATATTTACAGCACCTTTATTTATGTATATACTTTTTGCTGAGCTGTAATCTTTTATTTCATGCTTGCAACTATAAATTTATTAAATCAATCACTAGTGCTACAACTACAGATGTATAGATATATTAACAACTTAAAATCGGTTTACTTTTTTTTTCACCTTTTTAGGTTCGGGAGTGCATATGCAGTTTTGTTATATAGGCAAAGTTTGTATCAAAGGGGCTTAGTGTACAGGTTGTTTTATTACCCAGGAAATAAGCACAGTACTAATAGGTAGTTTTTCAATCCTCACCCTCCTCCCACCCTCCACCCTCAAGTAGGCCCCACTGTCTGTTGTTCCCTTCTTTGTGTCCATATGTACTCAATGTTTAGCTTCCACTTATAAGTGAGAACGTGTGGTATTAAGTTTTCTCTTCCTGTGTTAGTTTGCTTAGGATAATGGCCTCCAGCTCCACCCATGTTTTTGCAACGGACATGATCTCATTCTTTTTTTGTGGCTGCATAGTATTCCATTTTCTTTATCCAGTGTACCATTGATGGGCATTTAGGTTGATTCCATGTCTTTGCTATTGTGAATAGTGCTTCAGTGAATGAATGCATGCATGAGTCTTTATGGTAAAATGATTTATATTCCTTTGGGTATATACCCAATAACGCGATAGCTGGGTCAAATGGTAATTCTGTTTTGAGTTCTTTGGGAAATCACCCAGCTGCTTTCCACAATGGCTGAACTAATTTACATTTGCGCCAGCAGTGTATAAACATTCCCTTCGCTCCACAATCTTGCCAGCATCTGTAATTTTTTGTTTTTTTAATAAAAATTATTTTAACTGGTGTGAGATGTATGTCTTCGTGGTTTTGATTTGCACTTCTGTAATGATTAGTGCTGTTGAGTATTTTGTCATATGTTTGTTGGGCACATGTATGTCTTCTTTTGAAAAGTGTCTATTCATGTCTTTTGTCTGTTTTTTACAATGAGGTTGTTTGTTTGTTGCTTGTAACTCTTTTTAATTCCTTGTAGATTCTGACCTTTGTTGGATTTTTGTCTGTTTTTTTTTAACGAGGTTGTTTGTTTTTTGCTTGTAACTCTTTTTAAGTTCCTTATAGATACTAGACATTTGTTGGATGCATAGTTTGCAAATATTTTCTCCCATTCTGTAGGTTTTCTGTTTACTACGTTGAAAAAGAGTTTCTTAATTAGGTCCTATTTGTCAATTTTTGGTTTTGTTACAATTGCTTTTGGCATCTTCATCATGAAATCTTTGCTAGGTCCTATGTCCAGAATGGTATTTGCTAGGTTATCTTTCAGAATTTTTATAGATTTGGGTTTCACATTTAAGTATTTAATTCATCTTGAGTTGATTTCTGAATATGGTGTAAGGAAGGGGTCCAGTTTCAATCTTCTGCATACGGAGAATCAGTTATCCCAGCATCAGCATCTTTATTTATGATAAAAAGCTGAAACAGCCAAATGTCAATAGATTAACATTTGTGTATATTCATACAATGAAATACATTTGAGGAATAAAAAAGGTATGAATCATTGATATAAGCACAAATGTACATCAATTTTTTTTGCTTCTTCATATGTCTAGTAATTTTTATTGGATGTCAGATGTTTTTAATGTCACATTGTTGAGTGACATTGTTGAGTGACATTGCTTTTCTCATCTTCTTTGAAGGTACTTTGGGGTTTTTTTCAGGTGTCAGTTAAGTTACTTGTTGAACTACTTGATACTCTTTAGATTGTTTTTATGCTATGTTAAGTCCTAAAGAGTAATAGTCATACTAGGTCTAGTTTAATCCACTTCATAAGTGATGAAATTGTTGGCATCTATGAATAACCTGTATTTTGAATAAGTTTCCTTTATCTAATCTGGCTGAATGTGAGCATCTCTTAGCTTTGTGTGAGATTTAGAAAGTTTTTTTGAGCTGACAGCTCTCAGGTAGTTATCATTTTTACCCCAGAAATTGTTCTTGTTCATCCTCATTTTCTTTAATCTTACATACTTGCTGCTTAGTTTTTAGACAAAGACTCAAGAAGTCTCTTATAGTACCTTCATTTCCAGCCACCTCAGTACCTAGAACTGTAATTTCAACTCAATGAGACTACTGCATTCTCCTTAGCCTTTCTACCCATGCAATTTTGTCTGGAAAGTGTTCCTAGGTAGATAGCCTGGGGTTACCATAGGGCTCAGCTTATTTATTTCTTCTTTCTCAAGGAACAGAGCCACACAGTAATATTGCTCAATGCCCCAAAACAGCTGTTTCATAGATTTTGTTCAATTTTCTAACTTAAAATCACAGGATGATGAGAAGTTCTGCTTTTGGAATAGCGGCATCAACAGCTACATGGACCTGCTTCTGGGAAAAACAAGTGTAACTGGTAAAATTTCTAATTTAAAAAGAGTTAAAGTTTTGGAATTGTCTTAAGAGCATACAACAAATGAAGAAGCATTTTTATTTTTTATTTTTGTGAGTACATAATAGGTGTGTATATTTATGGGGTTCATTTGATACCTTGAGGCAGGCATGCAATATGTAATAATCATATTATGGGAAATGAGGCATCTATCACCTCAAGCATTTATCCTTTTGTTAAAAACAATCCAATTATATTCTTTTAATTATTTGTAAAAGTACAATTAAATTATTATTGACTATAGTCACCCTGTTGTGCTATCATATACTAGGTATTATTCATTCTTTCTAATGACTTTTTATACCCATTAACCATCCCCATTTCCTTTCCACCCTCCCTACTACTCTTCCCAGCCTCTGGTCACCTTCCTTCTATTCTCTATCTCCATGGGTTCAATTGTTTGAATTTTTATCTCCCACAAATAAGTGAGAACATGTGAAGTTTGTCTTTCTGTGCCTGGCTTATTTCACTTAATGCAATGATCTCCAGTTCCATCTATGTTGTTGCAAATGATAGGACCTTACTCTTTTTATGGCTGAATAGTACTTCATTATGTATAAGTATCATATTTTCTTTATCCATTCATCTGTTGATGAACATTGAGGCTACTTCCAAGTTTTGGCTATTGTGAACAACATGAGAGTATAGATATCTTTTAAATATACTGATTTCCTTTCTTTTGGGTATTTACGTAGCAAAGGGATTGCTGGCATCTCTATTTTTAGTATTTTGAGAAACCTCCAAACTCTTCTCCATAGTGGTTGTATACATTTACATTCCCACCAACCGTGCGTGAGAGTTCCCTTTTTCCCCACATCCTTGCCAGCATTTGTTATTGATTTCCTCTTGGATAAAAGCCAGTTTAACTGGGGTGAGATGATATCTGATTGTAGTTTTGATTTGCATCTCTTTGATGATCAGTGATGTCGAGCACCTGTTCATATGCCTGTTTGCCACTTGTATGTCTCCTTTTGAGAAGTGTCTGTTCAGATCTTTTGCCCATTTTTCGATCTGATTATTAGATTTTTCTCCAAAAGTGTTGTTTGAGCTCCTTATATTTTCTACCCATTAATCCCTTGTCAGATGGGTAGTTTACAAATATTTTCTCATGTTCTGTAGGTTGTCTTTTCACTTTGTTGTTTGTTTCCTTTGCTTTTCAGAAGCTTTTAAACTTAGTGTGATTCCATTTGTCCATTTTTATTTTGGTTGCCTGTGCTTGTGGGGTGAAGAAACATTTCTTAAAAGAAAATCCATTAAACCTCAGTGAGAACAGCAAGAGTCTGTGTGATATGAGTTATAACTTGCTCCTCTCATCCTAATGTTTCCAGATCAGCATCATGGATGCCCCCACTTTGGGAGGATGTGCTCAAGAAAAACAGGGTTCCTTCTATTCTGAACTCCAAAATAAAGGATAAGGTCAATATCTCCCTCAAGAGAGTTGGTCATTTCTCATCCCCATCCCTACAAGCTCACTCACATCCTCCAAGTAAATTACAGAGGCTCAAATCCAAGAGAGTGTGGCCAAGAGTGTGGCCCTTCTTCCCCTTACAAATAGAGCAGAAGCTCTATACTAGGCACAGCAGGCTAATGAAAATAGGGCTCCAATTGCCCTTTTACAGCTCACTCACAGAGTGAAGCTTCCAAATGGGGAAAGGCAAGCCAGAAGACTAGAAGGTACTTCCCCAACATGGCTCTCTTCTCATCAAGCAGAGGTACCCTATAAGAAAAGTGGACCACTGTTCCTGAATCTGCAGCTTCAGATCAGTAATTGAGAGAATTTCCTCACTGGTAGAACTAGTCCACAAGGGCAGAGAGCTCTGAAGCTGTCCCCAAATAAACAAACTTTATTTGAAAAAGAACCTGGAATAGCTCAAGCCTAAGGGTGCTTCCCCGCTTTCCCCCACTTAAGATTGGATGGCAAGCAAATGAGAAAAGGCATGTAGCTAAACCACAGACTAGCTAGTTTACCAGAGAGAAAAATGAAAAGAGACCACTAAGAAGAGCTTCTCCAGGGACAGAACAAACCTCAAAGACTAGTCTCAAAAACTACCTCAGCAAAAGAGCTCCAATTTAATTGGTTCAGATTGTGTAGTAATTTATGCCCTAGGGCATAGTTGGTAACACTGGCAGAATCGAGCATCAAATAGAAGAAACTAAAAGGTCGATGTGATGCCAACAGGGACATAGAACTTAGCAAAGAGATCAGGGAGCGTCTGAGAGAGACCTGCTAAAACCGCTGTCAACTGAGGTTGACTTAGCGCATTCTGAAGGCTGTGCTCTCTGATCAGCAACTTCAGAGACTTAGTAGCTTTTGTTTTAAGAACCAAGTTTTCGATGTCTGTTGTACAGTGTAAGATAAATGATAGAGTGTTTGTGAGATGAAATGAATTGACATTTATAAAGCATTTAGCACAATGCTAGTGTGGAGTATTTGGTCTATAATGTCAATTGCTCCCCAGAATAACTGAAAATAAGACAGTTTATAAACTCAATATTAGACATTAAAACTTTTATCTATGCATATATTCCTAGCATTATAATGGTTCCCAGAGAAGGCAAGAAGAAAAGAGCTTAGTTCCTATCCTTTAGGAGCTTACATTCAAACCAGGGTGACAGTAAGTGGAATCTAAGACAAAATTTAGTTACTGTGGCAGAAGTAAGTATAGAATGCAATGGAAATACATCGGAGAGTAGAATGAATATGGCCTGGAAATGGGTGAATTGTAGGGAGGACTTAATGGAGAAGGCTTTGATTTGTACCTTGAGTTGTGCAGAGATTGCTGTCAGACACAGGTTGAACATATTGATTTCTTTCATTTTTAATCCTTCAGGAATAGTATCTAGGTGATTATTGAGATAGACTAGAGCAGGCATAAATCAATAAGAAGAAGGGTTTCATAAGAAAACTGGAGGGTGCACCCTCATACCTATAGTACATTTTGGCTGGTAAAATTATTTGTTTCCAATCCACTCGCAGTAGACCACGGTATTCCAAGCAGACCTCAGTCGCAGAAAAATCCACCCTCCACATCATTCTTCCCAGGAATTGGCCTTAGTAGGACAAATGCTCTTCAAACCTGCACAGCATTAATTCCATCGCTGTTATTCTATTGCTGTTTCACCCCACCTCATCTTATGATGATCAGAAGAGAAAAAGCTGAGGAAAAAAAGAGACTGTCAAATACAGCCCTTATATTTGCTAATAGATATGAAAAAAAATGCCCCTTGAGCTGTGATTGGTTTTGCTCAGGCCTGTTATTCTCAACCTCTGTGTAGTGCTGTATACATGTCTATCATTATTCCTCTAGAAGAAAAGATAGGGTACTGATAATGGATTATGAAGCATTCCTCACACTCCATGATGAGTATAATATAATAAAGATAACTGCCAAGAACTATACTAGGTCCATCAAATATTCACTCCCTAATTTACACTTTAGGTATTATATCTGAATGAGTAAGAGTGAATAGATATTTGTCTTATTTTGGTTTTCCCATAGCAGACCCTGAGACAGGGATTCCAGGCAAGGAGTTAATGTGAGAAGTGATCCCAGTGAAGTGGGTAAGTAAAACAGAGAAAGGAAGAGTCTTTCTCTGTAGAGGGATGCTTATCAAGAAAGTTACCATATACCTGCTTAGTATAGCTTATTATATATGCAAATTGAATCACATGTAATTATCACATGTAATCAGCTGTATTTCTATCTCTCTATATATAACTATAGTTATAGTTATATATATTTATATGGTTAACTATATTATATATACTTATATAAATTGTATCACAGATGATCACGTATCATACGTGTATGATGTGTGGAACAGGTTCAAGTGCCTGTTTGGTTTTAAGATATGCATTATTATTCTTATTTAATATTTTAGAAAACTTGCAAGGAGAGGTGAAGTTGCTTCTACAAGGTCAAACTTATCATTAGGAACAGAATAATAATAATCTGAGCCAGAAAAACTGTATGGTTCTCAGTTCTTAAATTTCTAGTTATAAAAGTTTAACCTATACCTCACACCCATTAAGATGGCTACTACAAATAGAAATGAACAAACGTTAAAGAGGATGTGGAGAAAGGGAAACCTTGTACACTATTGGTGAGAATGAAAAATTATGCAGGCACTTTAAAAAAATAGTATGACAATTCTTTAAAAGAATTAAAAATAGAATTGCCGTAAGATCCAGCAATCCCCATTCTGGGTGCATATTTCAAATAATGAAAAACAGGATCTCAAATTACTATTTGCATACCTATATTCATAGCAGCATTATTCACAATAGCCAAGAAGTGGAAGCGACACAAATGTTCATCTACAGATGAATAGATTAACAAAATGTTTATACAAACAGTGGAATATTATTTGGCCTTAACAAGAAAGAAAATCTTGCCATATGCTATAACATGGATGAAACTTGAGGACACGAGGCTAAGCGAAGTCAGTAACAAAAAGACAAATATTGTATGCTTCCACATATGAGGTATCAAAAGTAGTCAAATCCATAAAAACGGAAAGTAGAGTGGTTGTTGCAGGGACTGGGAGGAAGTGGAAATGGGGAATGGTTGTTTAGTGGGTATAGAGTTCCAGTTTTACAAGATGGAAATGTTCTGGTGAATTGGTGTACGACAATGTGAATGTACTTAACACTACTCAACTGTACACATAAAATGACTAAGATGTTAAAAACAAACAACATTTAAATTGTATATTACATATATATATAAAGATTATTCTATGTGAATTAAACCTTAATAAAGCTGTTAAATAAAAGTTCAAATCAGTTTTCCAGTTAGTTCCTTAGAACTGGAGGAAGCCTTGCTTTGCATGTAGTTCAATCACCCACTCAACGCAGGAATCTCCTCTTCTTAATTCACTCCCTTCTAGATAAGCTCATTCACCCTGGATGACCCCAATTATCTGAAAAAAAAAATTTCCCCTTATAATTGAGCTTAAATTCACAAATAGGTATTACCTACCATTAGTCTGAAGATCCAAAAACAATATCAAATATCAAAATCCCGTTCTGCCCTATCTGGTCTTGTAACTCTGCCTCAGAACATGTCTTTTTTTCCTGTGGCATATCTCTTATGATAACGAGAATGTATGTAGGACTCAAAATCAAAGGCATCCAAATGTCTAACCAGGAATTGTTTGAAATTTGACCAGAGTATTTAGGGTTGTTCAGAAAAGAGATGAGCCCTCCATTCTTCACACCTTCCCCCATGTTTGACATTTACACTCTGTTAATAAATCCAGAGAGGACAGTAGGAAAGAATACTCAGGATATTCAGGATGTTTCTTATATTGAGAAATTTGTAATGCAAAGGACCATTGGAGCGTGCAAGGGTGCAACGCTGCTGACATGTCAGACCACGGAGTTTGCTGGGTTGTTTCCTATTCTTTCTTTTCACAGATCTGTCTCCACCATGAAACATTATTATCATTACCAGCATGCCATGACTTTGAACCTAAGGCCTTAAATTTGCTCTCCATGTGCTATGCATTAATAAAATTGATATACTGTCTATGTACTGAGTACAGTGAGGGTTAATTAAAATACGTAAAGTACTTCGAGGCCTTTTCCTTAAAGATGTGAGCTGAGTGCATTATTATTACTATAAATACAAATTGAAAAATACAATCACATTCTCCCTGTAGACATCTGTACTGGAGATTTTTGCTTCCAATTCTACAGTGCTCATGATAAGGTGATAACATAAGCAATCTAGCAGCAAAATTTATTTTTATCTGCATTCTGGAACAAAGATTTAACCTCTTGAGGAACAACCCAAAGTTAAAACGTATATAAATTTTTTCCACATGTCACTCCGTGGAGTTTAATTCAGATAGCAGATTTTTTTTCATCCCTTCAATTTCACAAAGGCAGGGATAAATCAAGATAGATACAAGGTCTCTTTTGTACCAAATATATTTTATTATCTAATCTTAAACCCTGGAAGATGATTTGTACCAATGCCCAACAAGTTAGTCCAACTCCAAAAGACTCTGTGCATGCTGAGACGAATTGGAAATGCAATGTCATAGGAGAAAATAATAATAAAAAAATTGAAATCCAGAAACTAATCAAAATTAAATACCTTTAAAGGTAATAAGACCCAGTTTTTATGATTTGGTTAAAAATTAGGTAACATTATCAGAGTGATTTGGAGCAAATTGCTTAGTCTCTGTAAGTCTCATTTTCCACATCCTACCTTATTCATGTGAAAATGGATCAAGGAAATGCTTGCCATGGAGCCCAAGGGCAGATGATCAATAATTGGTAGCTATTACTGGGGAAGCAGTTTATGATGGTGGTTATTATGTTAGGTCCTGAAGTCAGACTGCCCATATTTGAATATAGGCTGTGACATTTACAAATTGTGTGATCCTAGGGTGGTTACTTAATACTCTTTGCCTCCTTTTTCTATTCTCTAAACTGAAATAATAATATTGCCTATTTCATATGATGAGGAAATTTTATGAGGTAGCATGTTGACAGAGCTGGAGCAATGCCTGAGTCACAATAAGCATTCACATAATGTCAGATGTCACTATTATTATCATTGCCATCATCACATCACAAATGCAAGTTTTTAGGATATAAAAGCTATGATATTCCATACAATGGAATACTATTCATCAATAAAAATTAACGAACTAGTATACAACAGTGTGGAAAGCAAAACTATAGGAACAAAAAATAGATCAGTAGTTGTCAGGGGCTGGGGATGGAGAGAGAGATTGACTATAAAGGGGTAGCACAAATTTTAGGGGTGACAGAATTGCTCTGTGTTTTGATTGTGGTGGTGGTTACAAGACTGAAAGCCTTTGTCAAAATTCACAGTAATCTACCCCAAACAGAGTGAATTTTATCTTATGTAAGTAAATTTAGAAAGGCAACTAAAAAAAAGTGAAATATGCAATTTCTATTGCCCAAGAACTTCATTCAACTCAAAAAGAGTCTTTACTAGACAAGTCTTTAGATTTAAATTTCTAAAAATTAGCATATAATAACATGTAAGGTTGGTGCTGGAGAAGAAAACTCTCTACTAAATATAGCTTCAGCACTTTCCTAAATCATTTGTAATTGAGTTGTTGACTATTTAGCCTTTAAATACCAGACCATAGCTCCTTAATGGAGCCCTTTGTTCTCCCCAGCGTCTTACAGTGGGACTGAAGTATTCAATTTTTAGAGGCGGTGGATCTATTTATTACTTGGGTTGTGGTGATGGTAACAGGAGTAAAATTTACATATGTCTAAACTCACCAAATGGGATACATTAATTATGTGCAGTGTTTTGTATGCTAATTATATCTTAATAAAGCTTGGGGAGGGGGAAATCTTTTAGGTTAGAAGGCCTCTCAGATTATGGCATTTCATGTACTTACTGAATTAGCCATTTTTAATATAGGAGTTCCTAAATTACTAACATTTCCAAAAGTGATATTTGATGGCAAAAGTAATATCCTTGTGAAGTATTAAGTGATTTTTATGAAAAAGTCAAATGAGCTGACAGAGCATAATAATTACATTGTCAAAGAATACAAGATTCCGCTTTCTCAAAGCCATCTATATTGCCTGGTTTTGGATGCACAGGCTGTCATCAAGATGGTAAGATTTATTTCTCCTCTAATTGCACCATGGCAGCCGGTATTACACGCAAGATATCTAGGGTGCCCATTGTTCAGAAGTGTGCAAAATCCATGGCATTGCTTATGTACGTGGTTATGTACACAATTAAGAGAATGGCTTGCATGCTGATGGAACTGAAAAATAGAGCTTGTATGAAGTCCTGGGGTGGTGCTGTTCAAATGTTTTAAAATATTTTTAAAAACTGTGATTTATTCATCAGCAGGAAGATTAAAAGCATTTTCCTTCCACAATAGTATGTTCCAGACTCTAAGCTCAGAGGAACTGCTCACCAGAGATGTTTGTCCTTTTTTGTGGAATTTCTGTGGTTTACTTTCTTATGCATTAAGTATGGAGTATGCATTATTAACCCATTATGGGTATATCAAAGTCTGTTTGTGGCCTATTCATATAACCTTGGAAATTTCACACATAAATCATTAGAGAAACGCAATGATCTAATGCTTAGGACCAGGGAGCACAGTCAATAGTTGGCATTGTTCTTTCGAGCTGCTATGTGTGTCATTGGAGGACAACCTGGCTGATCTGCATTTACTCTAACACCTCAAATGCTCATTTCTTTTCAATATCATGTATTTAATGGAATTTACGGGACACCTATGGGGACTACCTTGCTTTTGGCTAAAAACTTGACGCCAACACACAGCAACATATATGTCTCACTCAGTTCTGATGATGCTTTAGAATAGTGCTGGTGAACTAATATTTGTGCTTATGGAAAATTAGAGGACAAAACAAAACCCTAAACTGTGAAGTGACATGCTGAATTGAAATTAATTAGATGCGTCAGTGGGTGGCACCGTAGAGCTTAGTTATTCAGAGTGCAGTTTTCAGCATCGGCTTTCCTAAGTCTGAATCTGAGCTTTGCTGATAACTAGTTGCATGTCTGTGAGTCAGTTAGTTAAGCTACTGTTTCTTCATCTGTAAAATTAGGATTATATTACCTGCTTCATCAGCTACTGTATAAATTAAATGCAATTATCTGAGTAAAGTGTCTGGCATTGCTCTAATTAAGGCTGTGAATGGCACCCTAACTGAAGAATCCTATCACTTACGAAGGCTTCATCACTTTAACACTCATTTGCACCTTGCAGTGTTGAATACTTTTTCTTTCCTCAATCATACTTCGGTAGGCTCTCCCAAATTTTTCACCTATCTCCCATTCATCGTCCTCATCTTGACTTCTAAATGTGTTTCTTTCTCATGCTCTTCTTCTTTTCCATCTTAAATGCTGTTGCTCTCCGGAGCTCACTCTGGATTCTCTTCTCTTCTACCTACTCTCCTTGAGGGGGTCTCATTTACAGTGACACTTCGTGTAATATTAACTCATATACTACTCAGTCAGAGGTCTATATCTATAGCCCACAGCTCTCTCCCTAGAGACCAGTGTCCTCAACTATCTACTGGGCACCTTCACCTAGGGTCTTGAAGTTATCTCCACCACAATGAGTTTGACTAACCCATCCCAAAAACACAACAGATTGCACTGTCTTCTATCTTACTTTCTTTACTGTCTGCCATTTTCACCCAGCCAGTGATGGAAGCCATTAACTTGAGAATCATACTCAATTTCTCTGCTCATCGCCCTCCACATCTAGTCAGTTATAGAGCAGAGCTGATACAACCTCCAGATAGATCTCAATCCCGCCCTCTCCTTCTGAAAATCCTCTCCCAGCTGCCTCCACATCACATCCTCCTAATATCAGTGACCCCTGCAGCCACTTCTCAGTCTCCACTCAAGTAATTTTGTGGAATCTCTCATTATTTTTATGTTGCAAGAAACTTCTAATGGAGTCTCTGTTTCCTAATATTGCCCTTCTCTCTCGGTTTCCTTCTGCAGGAGAACCACTGATTCAAAGATCTTTCTGAAGTTCCTACTTAAAATACTTCAAAGACTTCCAGTAGTCTTTAGGATGAAGAGGAAAAAAATTCCCTTATATTGTGGGCCCTGCAATCCCATAAACTTCCTGACTGAACAGCTAATGTTTTCCTTCTATTTGTAGTTACAGTGCATAATATAGACTGTAATTTGGTTTGGCTCTGTGTCCCCACACAAATCTCATCTCAAGTTGCAATCCCCCGGTGTCAAGGGAAGGGTCTGGTGGGAGATAAATGGATCATAAGGACGGTTCCCCCATGCTGTTCTCATGATAGTGAGTGGGTTCTCACAAGAGCTGATGGTTTTAAAAGTGTGTGGCAGTCTCCGCTTTGCTCTCTCTCTCTCCTGCCACCTTGTGAAGAAGGTACTTGCTTCTCCTTTGCCCTCTGCCATGATTGTAAGTTCCCTGAGGCTTCCCCAGCCATATGGAACTGGGAGTCAATTAAACCTCTTTCCTTTATAAATTACTAAGTCTCAGGTAGCATCTTTATAGCAGTGTGAAAATGGACTAACACAGACTGGGTCCAAAATAAACATTTTGATGATTCCTAGAGAATGAATGTCAACCTCTTCAATTAATTCCCTGCCTCTCAAAATTCCACAATAAGAGTCCTTTACTCCAGTTGTAGAAAACTGCTTGCAAGTCTCTTACACTCCTTGCTACTTTTTCATTCCATGTCTTTGCATGTTCTATATCCTCATTTATTCAACTTTGTACTATATCTTGGGGACTTAAGGAGTGAAAAAGATAAACACGGTTTTTGTCCTTGGAAACATAATAGTTTAGTAGGAAAAAAATTAAACAGGTATTTAAAATATAAGTGGAAATAGTATTGTAAGTTTCCTGTAGATCTGGTTAAAAAAGGAGAAAAATGATCATAAAGAAATAAGTAACTCTCATGTTTATTCCAAGAACTATGATAAACCCAACAAAAATGATAAAGATTTTTAGCAACTGACTTAGATGTCTGTGAAATATTATTGGGTAAAAAAACTAGCTTACTAAACACATGCTTTTCTATCCTTTATCCACCTTATTTACCACTACTTTTTTTTTTTTTTTTTTTTAGATGGAGTCTCACTCTGTCACTAAGCTAGAGTGCAGTGGCGTGATCTCAGCTCACTGCAACCTTGGCCTCCTGGGTTCAAGTGATTCTCCTGCCTCAGCCTCCCGATTAGCTGGGACTACAGGCACACACCACCACGCCTGACTAGTTTTTGTATTTTTAGTAGGGATGGGGTTTCACCATGTTGGCCAGGATGGTCTCGGTCTCTTGACCTCGTGATCTGCCTGTCTTAGCCTCCCAAAGTGCTGGGATTACAGGTGTGAGCCAATGCACCCAGCCCTTATTTTTTTTTTTTTAATTTTTAGCTCAAGTACTACCATCTCTTGAAAATACTGCCTGACTACCTCAGTCATCCTCTGCATTTTCTTGCCACAGTAGCATGGGAAATTTGTCAGACCTTTTAAAATAAACTTTTTATTTTTGAATAATTTTAAATTTACAGAAGTGTTATAAAAATAGTGCAGAGATATCCTATGGACTCCTTCATCAATTATCATCTTAATTACCATGGTATGTTTGTCAAAATAATGTTCCACACTGAGTGATAAACACTGTTGTAAAACAACAAACAAAAAAACATAGCTCTATGAATTATTTGTGTAGCACAGACCTCCCCACCTCACCCCCAGTGCATGGCCTGCCACGGGTTGGTTCCCTCTAGAGACTGTTAAATGGTCTTCCACCATTTGGATAGGTTAATATGGAACTCTTTCTTTTTCCTTTAGCCTCAATTACATGTTTCTATGACAGGATTTTGTGAGCAAGTACAGCTGCTAGTTTCTAGGTTTTTGCCTTTTTCTACCACAACCTGTATATACAGGAAAAGGACAAGGTCTTCTCAGTAGGTGGACCATATCTTAAGAGAGAATCACGAGAGCATCTCAATCATTCTTGCCCCAGTCAAGGGCCTGGGCATTTTTATCTTTTGTCCAGCTGTCTAAGTACAGTATTGATTACCAGCCCTTTTCAGACATCTCTTAAAAGTAACAAAAACAAGTAAATGAAAGTCATTTGAGGATATTTGAAGGGTCAGTGGATACCCAAGACCTTGTGATTTTAAGCAATGCTTTCAAGCAGTTCCTACAGTATCTATATTTAACTAGTCCTTTATTTTGTCTGTACATAAATGTTTGAAGAAAGTTGTTAATTCTTATTTTGACGTTAATATGCATTGCTATTCTTAGCATAGACTCAATTCGGCTCCCGAGTCAATATCTTCCTATGGCCCCTATATATCATCTATGTAAACTTTACCAATATTGACCAAACACCTGCTGTGTGAGCAGTCCTGAACTAGGCACTGGGGAGAATAATCTTAAGCAGAAAATACCCTGCCCTTGAACACAGAGGTAGGTGCTCAAAATCACTAGACTTTTGTTAGATTTGTTGTCTTAATATGTTCAAATGACACTAGTAAATTGGCTTTACCTATTCATAGTATGTTGTTGCAAGAATTAAATGATCTAACAAATAATATTCATAGTCACATGAATACTGAAAACAGATAACATTTATATAGCACTTAATATGTGCCAGGCATTCTTTCAAGTGTGTTCTATTAATTGGTTTACTAAGAAAAAAATCTGTGAACTACAAAATATTCTAAAAATCAATGTGTGACTGCTATTCTTGAGTATGAGGCTACATCAAGCAGAAGTTAACTCTTCAACGTGGAATGAGCTTCTGAAATAAATTTTGTGGTGTAGCATTTACATGCTGGCAGAGGGTCAAAGAAAATGAAGGCCAAAGAGGCCTGGAGAGACTACCCAGGGTTCAGAGCTATATTTGGGATAAAGAGCTTGGAGGGCCTGGGTCTGCATCCCAACCAAAGTCATTCATGGCATCATCATTATCCCCTAGTCATTGTCATTATTAACATCATCATTGCTACCAGTTCTTATTATTTCATGATCACTTACTTCATGCGAGGCACTTTGCATGCGCTATTTATTTAATCTTCACACAAGGAAATCCTGGGAAGTAGGTATCATCATCCTCAATTTATAGACAAGGAAAGTTAGGCTCAGTAAGAATATATTACTTATAAATATTATAAAACTAGTAAGTTTTATAACTGGTAAAACAAGAATTTGAATCTATACATGGCTGAATTGAGTCAAAGTTCTTTCTTGTACCTTTCATGTCCTTTCTGTAGAAGGGAATCATGATAATTCCCACCACCCAATTGTAGCTCCGAAAGCAAGGTCATCATTCATTCTACCTTTCCTCAAGGAAGCTAAAGGATGCCAGGAATAACAAGGCCTAATGGACAGGAGGTGGTCTGTTTTTCTAAAAAAGAATGAGATTTGTCTTAATGAAGGGTAATTAACTTCAGGAGAGATTACATAGCTTCTGCTTTTACATCATCATTATCACAAGCTTGTAAGTTTTAAATATTTCCATTTCCTTTCTGTCATTGGCTGTTCTCAAACAGTAAAGAATGCAGAATCAAATCTTGTCTATTTCATATTTTGTCTGATTCACATAATCTCTTTGAGTGCAGGGATAATGTCTTCTTTTAGATCCTTTTTAGTCTCACAATATTTGTTACTGGTCTGGATGTATATCAGGTATGACAGTTAATCTATTAATTCTGTGAACATTGGGGGTAGAATGTGTTTCTGAAAGAAATAGGGTATTTCAAGTTAGAGAACATCAGGTTAATCTTGTCTTTGCCATTTATTATATGTCCTTTTATAAGAAGGTACTTTAGTAATCTTATTCTTCTCATTTGAAAAACTGGGATTATGTTCCACAGAGAATGGGTGTAAAATTAAAATAATATACGTGATGCAAAAAAGCAGGTCCATTGCTCACTTGTTCAGAGTAGACATTAATATTCACTCTTTTTATGTTTCCTCCAGTAGGATTAGTCAAACTTCAGAAATCTTCTCAACACAGAGTTTCATACAGTATCTACCCACTAAAATGAAGTTGGTGTGTAGCTTATGATTTTTATATTGTTCCTTGCCTAATAGGAGAAAACAGCAAGCAAATAGATAATTTCAACACTATGAATACAGGGAAGGAAAGATAGAAGAGAATCCTTAATATATAAAAGAAGAAAGAGAAGGAAGTTGGAAGGGCTTTTCAAGGAGTCAGCATCAGTGAAATGAAGATGATCCTATAGCAACACAGAAGTAGAGGATACATGGGAGAATACAGAAAAAACATATGTAGCCAGTCACAGGCTAGATGACAAAAATCTTATAAGACAAGCCAATTCATGATTGGAAATCAGGGGAGTGGACTATGATTGTACTTCAGTAAAATTATTCTGACCACAATGAAGACAATGGATTGGTTTAGGGCAGGGCTTGAGCTAGCAAGATGTTTTTATGGGTTATTAAAGGAATGTAAGTGAGAGAAATTATGTCTTCAACTAAGATAACAGCAGTAGTAGTGTTGTAGAAAAACTGGGTTCTTGTCACATGACCATGAAAGATTAGGCTCAGAGACACTTCGAAGGGTGAGGGGGAGTGGAATTTATTGGGCAAAAAGGAAAAAAACTCAGCAGAGCAAGAGGGGTTCCTGTTAACAGGCCCCCATCTCACAGATTGAATCCCAGGTTACCACCCAGGAACAGGAGAGGCCAGGCTCCTCTCCTCTGCAAACTGGGCGAACTTCCCAAGGCCCCGCCCTGTCCTCCCAGTACACAGGTGGGCATTATTCAGAAAGAATCCCTCAAGGAAAAAGGGGGCCTTCATCCAGGAAGGCAGTCTGGTTTTTCAGCCTTCAGGCTATTTTAGGTTTGAAGGTGGGGTTTTCTGCCTCCTGTCTCTATTAGTAGGAATAGAGGAAGTTATTAGAGGAAGTTAGAGAGACTTGAAAAATGCTAAAAGGCAAGAACAGAGTACATCTTTTGACTGACTCTTATGAGAGAGAAGAGAAGAAGTAAAGTTGTTGCAGAAGTTGAATGGCTTTAACTGCAAGAGAGATAACAGAAATCAATGGACAAACAGAACTGGTTGAAAAAAGACAATAAGGTCTGTTGTGATGACTTTGAGGTGATGAAACGTGTATTTGAGGGAAAATCCCCAGCAGTCAAATAGAAAAACTTGCCTTGAATAAAGGAAATAAGTTAAAATAAAATCTATATCTTTAGGATCCATCAACACATAGAATATAATTAAAAATAAATTTGTGGATAAAATTGTCCAGGGTGACAGTACGGAGAAAGAAGGAGAGAATCTGAACACCAAACTTTGAAAATAGAGACATTTAAAGAAAACACTTACTAGAAGAATTCTGATAAGGAAAAGAAAATACGAAATTATGGAAGCCCACTCTACAAAAAGTTTATCTAGGGAGGAGAAAGAAATACATTATTTTTTTCAAAGAAACCAATGAAGGCTATCAAAATGGTTACCTAGGGATGTGGGTAGTGAAAATTCAGTAAAATTCACATGGAAATGGGGTAAGATGGTGTCTTGGTTTATCTGTGTTGCTATGTAGAAATACCTGAGGCTGGGTAATTTATAAAGAAAAGAGATTTATTTGGCTCACAGTTCCGCAGGCTATATAAGAAGCATAGTGTTAGCGTCTGCTTCTGGTGAGGATCTCAGGAAGCTTCCACTCATATAGGAAGGTGAACAGGATCAGGCATCACATTGTAAGAAAAGAGGAAAGAGAGATGGGAGGAAGGAGCCAGGCTCTTTTTCACAATTAAATTTCCTGGGAGCTAATAAAGCAAGAACTCACTAATTACTGTGAGAATAACATCAAGGCATTTATGAAGGATGCATCCCTAATGATCCAAACACCTCCCACCAGGCCCCATCTCCAACACTGGGAATCAAATTTCAAATCAAACTCATTCAAATCAAATTTCAACATAAGATTTAAAGGGGACAGACATCCAAACTATAATACATAGGCAAGAATCTAGGCAACTGAAACAGCTTTAGGAAAACTGAAAGGGAAGAAGAAAAAAAAGTCTTCATAGTTTCTCAACCAACTAGGGGCAATAGAGCATTCATTATTAAATGATTTATTGGGGAGTTAATTGTAAACTAAAATTGGAATAATTTCAGTGTAAATATAGTCTTCACAATCCACCACCGTATGTAAGAAGATCCCTTAATCTAAATTTGGCTCAATTCACTACCATTAACAAGTTCCAAAATCATAGCCCCTGAAAAAATGGTAGTCCGCCATAAGTTTTTCACCAGAGATCTTCTAGTGACCAGCAGTAGCTCTGTAACTGTGATAGCATTCATGGGTCTGGAACTTACTGTTATTATTCTGAGGTTCATATTTGGAAGGAAATGCCAATTATGTTCAAGTGATTTAAAAACAGTAATTTAGAGTTATGTTTCCAATCCAGCCTCTATTCCTCAAAACCTTTCAACAGCAACTTTTTCCTAAATTGTTTCAGGAATAGAGAATACATACAGAGCTTTCTCAAATCATGATGATCTGATCAATGACTTCTGTTAATAACTGGGTTTTTCTTTTTGGTGTCAGGGCATTTGTGCACCTTCTGCGGTAATGTGATTATCTGAGAGTACAAGAGGATGCATGAAAAGTTGGCTGGTAGAAACAAGATTTGGAAGTTGTAAAGCAACTCTGGCAACTGCTTAGCACTGATGGCTATTGTTTAGTCTGCACAATGTCATCCAGCACAATATTCAATATTCTTTTAAAAATAGTCATGAGCATTTCAATTCAAAGCACAAACATGGATTTTTGTTTTCTTGTGAAAAATCTGGGAACCTGGCCCCAGTGATCTCACATTGCCTTCGTCATCACCATCAGCAGGAACTGAGTCAAGCTTGGCCTTTAGCATGTACTCTCTAGTTTGTCACTTTCTCCACTTCTCCCTATTTCCCCTTGGTCCTAAGTTCCGGTGAAAGTTGTCTTTTGTTGCTGTTGTGGCAATTATGCTTAAATTTTCCCCTAATGTTTAGAGAAAAGTCAAATATTATTTGGATACACATACTTAGCAGAAGTAGGTAAATTAAGGTAGTGCAAGATAGAGTTATGCTTCAACAAGAAAAGAAAGAAAGCGAGAAAGAGAAAGAAAAACAGCACATAAGTCTGTGGAAATGGATTTCTTGTTTACTATGCAAACCAAGTGCAGGTATGCATGAAAAAACACGCTATATGAGAAAAAACAAGCAATGTAAAGCAAACAGAAATCATGTGTAGATGTGCAAGAAATATCAAACCTGCTTAACAAATTTTTATCTCTGTATTAGTCAGGAGCCAGTGAGGAGATGTAACTTATGTCAATTAGTTTAACAGAGAGGATTTAATATGAAAAATAAAAACTGCATATTGAAGAATCACGGACAGCAAATGTAGGAAGCAGCTGTGACCCCCCGGGGCTGGAAGAAAATCAAGGAAAACGTTGTACTTGTTCAACCTTGAAGGTATGTGAAAGGGCCTCTGTAAAGTTCAAATCAACCTCTGAGAAGGGGCCTGGTGAGACTGCAACCCAGACTTTTGCAGAAAGTAGTGCCAGCTGGTATGGGTGTCTTTGAGGAGAAATGATGAGACTTATTCTGCCAAAGTTGGACAAACTGAAAATTATAATCCCAGCACTGCTAGTCCTGGAATGCACTGCTGTCACTAGGATGGAGAAATGTTGCTAAGTGGACACTAATGGGAACAGAAGGAAAACTAAAACTGAAACAAAACAGAAACAGGAAGAAAACCGAAAAGACTTAAGTTCTTTCATCCTCTTCAAGCCTTCCAGCCGCCTTCTAGTGCCTCCGTGAGCTGAGCCTCTAGTAATTGGCTAAGTCAAAATGTGGTTTTCAGAGATCAGGCCCTAGCATCACAAAATAGTATAAAGAAAGAGGTTTTGAAAATGAAAGTCAATAGCCTAATGGCTGCTACAGCTATCTAACTGGTCCTTTATCTGCTAGAGTTTGTAATCTCGGCCTTAAAGATAAAATTAAAATATTTAACAGGCCCCTATATTTGTATAATACATTATGATCTATAATGTCCTTTTACACATTGATTTGTGTCAACTTCATGCATTTAAGCTCCACAATTATGAAAGGCAGGAATGGCAGATATGGTCACCTCAGTTTTCCATATGAGGAGAAGGAGGTAGATAGAAGGCCATTGATATGCCAGTCACATGAATGCAAAAGTCAGAATTGCAACCAAGATACTCTGTCTACCAGCCCATTGTCTAATCACTGCAGCACACTACTTCTATAAATCCACAGGTAACTGGACTCCTAAAACTAATGAAGTTCACAAATCCCACTGCCTTAGGGAGGAGAACACTGGTGTTTGGCATGGCTCATTGTCCCAGGTCAGAGATGAAACCCATTTGTTTGCTGACTGGTTTTATTAAGTTCTGAAGAAAAAAATATACCTGTCTCCAGTGGAAGGTATTGGGCTATCTGAGGGCAATTGAATTTAATGTTTCCTGGAACACCAATTTTATGTCTTGTAAAAACCCTGAAGGAATGCAACTCAGCTTATTACCCTAAAAGAACCATGTCTTGGTTTGCAGGCTATCTTCCAGTGCCAGTAAGGAGCATAGCTTCTGAGATGCACAGTGATATTTTCCTATCATCATGGGAAAATCTGGGTGAATTAGGGGGAAAACAAAACAACAAAAAGGCTTCCCTTCCTTAAAAAACAGTATTGCCACCTGCCAGGAAATTGGAAAAATAGGTACACAAATCTGTCAATGAAAACAAGATGAAAGTTACCTTCTGGACTGGTGCAGTGTACATCTTGAACAGCTGTAAGTGGTGGCCTGTGTTTTCTCAGTTACTAGTTCCACAGACTATTAAAAAGTTTTATATAAGGCAGTGGATTATAGATAGTTATGCTTAATTTGTATTTGCTTTGTTTCCATTATTGTACGTGTCATATCCTTTGATGGGTTTTATGGATGTCCAGACAGGAGCATAATTACATTCCTCAGTTTTCTTTGCCCAAGGGGAAAAATAAATAAAACATTTTCTTCAGGGACCAACTACAGGGAAAATATACTGTGAAATGGATCTGGAACAACACTCATCCAAAGACACACCCTGAATTTCCTCCCTTGTTCACTGCCCTTTACCTCAGCTTTGCTAAGGAAGAGAAGCCTGGTATTTTTTTTTTTTTTTTACAAATAATGATGTATAAGTATCTGTTGGGGTCAGGTCGAGACAGTTACTTCTTATGCTTCATGATTCCCCAAGGAGATTTTATTTATTTGATCCCTGATCCATACAAATGTGCATGGAAACACACACAGAATCCAAATTTTGGATTTCTGGGTGAATACTTTTATTTCATGTTGCCAATTCTCTCGTTCTCTGCCCCCTCTAAAAAAGGAATCACTAACCTGATAAGAGATATTGGGGACAATCTGACATCAACTGGATTATCTCAAACAGGAAGGCGTTGGCACTTCACTGAAATACAGGGAGTGGGGCCCATCTATTTGGCTCTATTTCTTTCTTCCTCTCTCCTTCACTCACTCATGACTATAAAATACATTTTCTACCCTAGAAATGGCATGGGCTTTCTAGTAAAGTTGTTAGCTCCTTTATGACTGGAGGAATTACAAAAATAACCAGGCTACTGCTTGCCAAGTATACTGGAGAGAAGTGTTAAACTTTGAATATTGAACTAGATAACATTGGAAATTGTGTACATCCCAAGATTCTATTTTTATAGATAAATTCCACTAAATTTTAACTCTAAAATTCCAAACAAATGTATTCACGAAGGCCAGGAGGGCGTAGTGCTTAGGCTTGTGAGCTTGGAGTCATGTTTTTGTATTGCATTCCCAGTTCTGCCATGTAATTTCTTGGTTATGTTGGAGTCTCAGTATCTTTTCATAGGAAATAGGAACAATAAATTAATAATTAAATAAATTATATTGATAAATAGAAACATTTTGATCACTGAACGTAACAAAGGTATATAGTACAGTGCTTGCCACCTTACAATTGCTCAATGAATGAGAGCTGTGATTATCATTATTAGTGAATGCAATTGAAAGCAGAAGGAATAATAAACAATTTCTCCAGCAGAAAACTAACAATCAACAGAAGGAATAATAAACAATTTCTCCAGCAGAAAACTAACAATCAAACAAAACAGTGGAAGAGAGTTTGAGGAGAACAAAGGGATACAGATCTTTCGTTGGCTTGGAACCATACGGATCTGGGGACAGATTGTCATCACAACTCAGTCCGTTTGTAATATTGACCTGAATTTTAATATGCACCCCTAACTCAGATTCCTCTTTCTGCAGATTTACAACAACTCTATTCTAGAGCCATTTTCTAAGCACCAAGTAGGAGTTACAAAACCAGGGACTAAGTAAATATAAATCATTTAGTCATTCATTACTTCAATAAATATTTAATAATATCTGTCACAGTCAGTGGATGAGGTACTAGAGACCAACTGGTGAACAACACTGGCTTAATCCTTACCGTGATGTAATGTGACTCACTCTTGGAGTGGTGGTAAATGAGGGGAACTTATACAGGCAAATCTCTCTCTCTCTGTGCCTCTTTCTCTTTAGCAAAAATGGAAAAATTCCTTTGTCATATGACTTTGCAGCTTCTCTCAGCAAGAAGTGGAATCTCCTATTCTTTTAACCAAGGCTTACCCGTGTTACTGTTACTTGATTTGGTCAATGGGATGTATAAAAAATGCTTCTCAGTCTCAGAAAGAAGCATGCAATGTGCATGTCAATGGACTTTGCCATCTCTTGATATTATTGGGAGCCCTGCAATATATGTTTACATAAGTCAGAATAGTATTAATTCTTTGGGCAGGAGTGTGTGTATTGATTTGGAAGTGGCATGAAGGAGCACTCTGGAACTATTCCATATCATTATCTGGGTGGTAGTTAAACAGGTATGTGCATATGTAAAAACTAATTGAGCTGAAAAATTAAGGACTTACACTTATGCATATTGTCCCTGTTTATATACACACATGTGCACACATGCACATGCACACACACACATAACCAAGGGGCAATGGCTCATGAGTTATAAAAAAATTGCATGAGTATAGTATCACAGGAGCTAGGGATAATCATGTTCAGCTATGATGAATGTGGTCAAAAGATTGAGTAAGATGAAAATAGTAAGTTTGTACTGGATCAAGCAATGTGGGGGTTGTTGATATACTTGGTGAGAACAGTTTTCATGGAAATAGTTGGGGAGAGATCCCATTTTGGAGTAGGTTTAACAGTGAATAGGCGGTGAGAAATTTGAGATGGTATCACATCTAAATAACTCTCTTAAATACTTTGTTAAAAGTAACAAACAAATGGATTGGTGATAAAAGTTAATTTGGGAGAGAGTGTTTTAAGTTTAGGGATACTAACATATGCTTGTATATAGATAAGAAGGATCTAGAAGACAAGACAAAGTTGAGATAGCAGAAGAGGGGAAGGATAAATGAAGGAGAAACATTTATTTTATTTTATTTTTTATAGCCATTTATAGTCTTACCAAGGAGAAGCATCGAAAAAATTTAGAATTTTAAAATAAAATTACTACTCTACTATATTTTCATTGGCAACCTGCTCCATTAGTAGGAACGTAATATATGTGAGGTGTTATCATTTCTATTAGTCCTAATCTACGCTTTACTGGATGAGCGACCTAGACTCAGCTAATCCCTCCTTAATCCCTAACTGTAAAGGAAGAGTCTTAACATAAGAATCTGTTAATTCTGTGACAGTTACAAATTCTAGGGTTTTTTTTTTTTTATTTCATCTTGATCACTTCTGTTCTATAACATGCAGCCACAGTTTTCTTACAAAGATCACAAAAGATTACAGACAGAAAATATCCCATTGGCCAAATCAAGTAACACACAAGCCTGGATTAAAATCTTAAGAGACTCTACTTCTTATTGAGAGGAGCTGCAAAGTCACATTACAAAGAAATGTTCCCACTTTTGCTAAATAGAGAGCGAGACAGAGAGAGGGAGAGAGATTTGTCTGTGTATCTTCTCCCCACTAACCTCCACTCCAACAGTGAGTCACATTACATTATGATGGCAGGAACCAAGCCAGTGTTGTTCATCAGTTGGTTTCTAGTGCCTCATCCACTGACTGTGACAGATATTAATGAATACTTTTGTTGAAGGAATGAATAACTGATTGATATGTAAGACTTCATACATAACACTTGATATGTATTAATACATGGATATGTAAGATTTGATATGATAACACTTTGTGCGTAAAAAATAACAGAGAAACTGATTGGTAATAAAAGTTAATCCAGGAGAGAGTATTTTAAGATTAGGGATACTAACATAGACTTGTATATTGGTAAGAAAGATTCAGGAGACAAGACAAATTTGAGATAGCAGAAGAGAGGAAGGACGAATGAAGAAGAGACATTTACCAATTGAGAATTTTCTGAAAAAGTTACCATTATATTGTTATTGGCTACTTGCCCCATTAGTAGGAATTTAATACATGTGAGGTGTTAATATTTTTATTAGTCCTGATCTACCTTTTTAGTGGCTGGGGGACCTGGACTCAGTGAACTGCTTTGTAACTTCTAACTGCAAAGGAAGAGCTTTGACATCAAGATCTCTTAATTCTATGACAGAGTTACAAACTCAAATTTCTTATTTCATCTTGATCACTTCTGTTCTGTAACATGCAGCCACAGTTTTCTTATAAAGGCTATAAAAGAATAGAGACAGAAAATAGGCTGAAAAGCTCCCCCCGGAAATCTAAGATTTATCAGTAGAGTTGTCTTCGGGTAGACTTGTCTTTAAAATTCCCCAAAAGGCCCTTGTGACTGTTCAAGTTTTAATCTCTCTCTTTCATTTCCACAAAACAAGTACATTTCCTCCTTCCACTGTGAAATTGTCTTGTCACTTGTGACATTAATGTAGAGGAGAAATCCTTTAAAGGCAGCCTTTGCTTCTCTTGATCTTGCAGCATGCCTCAGCCAAGGCATCCTCAAGTGCATACACAGCTAGAGGGGAGAGTATGGGCTTTGCTTTCTGCATTTCAAGGAGAGTGGGAGGAGAAAGTGGGGAAGACCGCTGGCCAAGATCCCTATATCTTTTCATTTCATACTACTTTCTCTGACCTAGACCAAAGATTATTAAGGTTGAAAGGGACATTGGGGAATCATCTAATCTACCTCCCACCCCCAATCCTTTTACAGATGAAGAAATCGAGTAGTAAGGTGATTTGCCTAGGACTTCAGTTAGATATTAACAGAGAGTGTCTCCAAGTCCCTCTCCTGTGCCTTGCTATTCATTCATCGAAAAGTTTGCTTCAGGTGGGCTGGGCTATGATGAACTCCATGTGGTTTTAGTGAATGATTCCTAAACCTGAGTGATCATCAGACTTAGCTGTAAATATTTTAAATACTTTAAAAACCTACAGGCTGCCAGATCCCATTCCACACGGTGTGATATCTAAATCTGTGCTAGTGTTTTTGTCTCAGAATCTGTAATTGAGCAGAGAAGAGTTAACATAACAAGTCTGATCTTTAGAAGGATCTTCTTCTATGCTGGTTCTTTGCTGGTATCTTAGTACTTAGATGCTATAAAGTTCTCTAAGTGATAAGAATATATGCCTGCTTGGGGCATTGATCACCTGATATTCTTCTGGGAGTCTGGAGTTTTGATATTTATTACTGATCATTGTGTCTATGTAACCCATCCCCAATAAAAATCCTGGACTCTGAGTTTCAAGTAAACTTCCTGGGGCATAAGAAGTACATGCGGGTTACTGCATTTCAGGACTGGAGGGAGGGTGTGCTCTGTGTAGCCCCTTTGGAGAGAGACTAGAAAGGGTGCTGGTGGATTTGGAAACTAGAAACTGCTTGATGTGTATTTTTGCCTTGTGGATCTGGCTATATCTTCTTACTGTGTCACTGCAATAAATCATAGTCATGAATAAAATTATATGCTGAGTCCCTTGGGTCCTCCTAGGGAAGCACTGAACTTATGGGTGGTCACTGGGCCGCTGAAACAAATTACGTCAGATACCGTGGCACAAACAGTGACAACAGTGTTGACGCAGAAAAATACAAATATCTTCTGATATGTCTTATGAGCAGCCAGTTTTGGAAACCTCTGGACAAAACCGTGTTACATAAAAATATGTAATAATGGGACTGTTGTATTCTGAGGAATCAAGGAAATGTTCTTTATTTATATCTGATAGACTTCTTAATAGTTTCAAAAGCAAAATTTTGATATTTCATCCCAAGTCATCTCGCTGATATCCTTTCTCTTTCAGTAAATGGCAATTTCTGTTTCCTATTCTTAATTTTCTCAGGCCAAAAACATTAAAGTCACTCTTGCTAGGTACAATGGCGTGGGCCTATAGTCTCAGCTACTCAGGAGGCTGAGGCCAGACGGTCCCAGGAGTTTGAGGCCAGCCTTGGTTACATAGCGAGATCCTGTCTCTAAAAAAACAAAAACAAAAACAAAGAGGCAAACAAAAAAATCACTCCTAATTCTCCCCTTCTTTTCATATCATATGTAAATCATGATTATTGTAGAGACTCAATTCTGATAACTTCATAATAACTCCACCTTTACAACTCCGGATTAAATTGTCGTCTCTCACCTGGAATGTTGCACTAGTGCCCACTCATCTCCTGCCACTTACCTCGTGGTCAGACTGCTTGCCTCATGCTAGCCCAATAAGCCATAGGTCACCTTATGTCACATCTATCCTCAAAAGATGCCAATGGCTTCCATCTCTGTCAAAGTAAAGTCTAAAATCCTTATCATGGCCTACAGGCTTCTTTATAGTTTAGTCCCAAGGACTGCTGTGTCTAATCTCTTCCCTCTCCATCACAGGCCTTCGCCTCCAGCTACACTGTCCTCCTTGCGGTTCTTAAGCTGACCAAACATGCTCTTGCCCCAGTTTCTTTGTAATTGTTGTTCCCTCGACCCACACTTTTCTCCCAAATGTCAGCCTGGCCCGTGTCCTCACTCTCCTCGGATCTCAGCTTTAATGTCACCCTATCAAGGAAAGCTTTCCTCAGAAGCCTAAGTAAAACCCTTCTTTACCTCCCCTTATCTGTTTTCTGACCTTACTTCATTTTTCTTCAAGGCATTCTGGAAGCCCTGAAATAGTTATGTGTGTTTGTCCATTTGAGTATTGACGTCTTTCTCTTGGAATTTGTTGTAAGCTCCATGAGCCGACACTTGGTTCTGTTCCCTGACTTATCCAGTGTCTAGGACAGTAACTGACTCTGGGAGGTAAGAAATATGCTGAATGAATAGATAAAGCAGTGATTGTGCAGGATGAATAGGAATTTAGGAAAAGGGGGTAGTGAAGGGAGAGCATGCTGAGATGGACTTCAGTGAGAAGTATGACGAAGAGAAGATGTGAGGTTGGTTACTTCAGAGACACGGACCGTGCAGGTGAGGCACTGACACATTCTGCAGTGGCTGCAGAGAAGTCTGACCCTCTTTGGTCCTTCTTTTGCTTTCACTTTGACATTCGTTGCAGTCAGAATGATTTCCTGAGTTCTCCATGTCAAGACTGTGCATGGACACAGTGGATTGACACAAATGATATGAAAACAGTTCTTTCCAGCCTGTTTTGCTTGAGGCCCTTGGTAAGCTTGAGAAGCCCTCCCTGCCAGGGCTGCTTCTATCGATGGAGCTAGATCACGGGGCTGCTCCTCTGGGGCCCTGCAGGGCTGCATTAATTAATAGGAGGAACGGCCTTTGACCTGCCAGAGCAAAACATGCCAAGAAAGTGTATGCCTCTTTCTTTCTTTCTTTTTTCTTTTTTTAATTTGATTTTTAAAAGAAGACTATGAATTTCAAATAAGCCAAGACTACAGAGGAATTTGCGAGGGATTAAAAAAAATCTCCAGCCCAGGACCCAAAAACTCTTCAGAGTTTGAACATTTGTTTGGAGGGGGGTAAAAGTGCTATGCATTTTAAAAGCAGAATTACAATAAATAGAGACTCTCTTTCTCCTTTCTCTCTCACATACACTCTCTCCGTCCCTCCCTCCCCAGATGCTTTAGGGAATAATAGGACAAGTAACGTTTCTATTACTGATAAAAATATATGTTTTATGCATACTCTGGAGAAATTTGCCAGCTGGTCTATTATGGCTAGAAGGGAGCTGCCATGGAAAATGATATTCCACTCAGGTTATTTGGATATTTGCATGTTTTGCAAGAAAGACAGATGCATAATTATGGAAAGGGGATTTGGAGCTAAAGTAGTAGGAGCAGGTATAAAAGTAGATGCATTTGAGATCACTTTTTCTTTCACTGTAGATACGACAGACTTTAAACTGGGTTAGACATTTATTCAGATACAGTTATGCTCCAGAAATCTGAAGTGAGAATAGCTTTCCTCCATGGCGTCTTGCCAGCCAACACTATGACCAACAACAAAACTCAATTACTGAGTAACTATTGCGCGTAAAAGAATCATAGGGTCACCCCAGTACCAAAGAGCAACACAGAGCAGTGGCTAAAAATGTGCTCTGAAGTCAGACCACTGAGATCAAGCAAGGCTCAATTCTATCATCTTACCAGATCACTATATTTGGACGACTGAGTTAACCTCTCTCTTCTTCTCTTCTGTCATAAGTTGAATTATTGAAATTATAAAATTATAAAACCTGAAAAGATTATCAGATTTTATAATTAGACAATGAAGGCCCAAAAAATGAACACTGTCATTATTTACTGTCTGGGGCACTAATTCTATAATAAATCAATCACAATGCCAAAAAATATTATTGTCGTTTTGAATTTAAATGCATTGTTCAGCAAATTTTTATCGAATTCTTTTTATCAAGAATACATTTTAGTTAACCCAAAATATACAAAATATTACTTCAAATTGTATTCAAGTTGCTTTTAGAAAAGCAACGCAGCATTGTGCATTATTTTTCTACAAAGTCTCCTAAATTCCGTGTGTATTTGACATTTGCAACACATCTCAATTCAGAAGAGCCGCGTTCAGAGGATTTGAAGGTTGGTGGCAGCTGTGTGGGACATATCAAATTCTTAAAATGTGCTAGACACTAGTCTATATGATGTGAATGACAAAAAAAAATGATGCTTCCTTCCTTTAAGGAGCAGGCAACATGGGTCAGACATTCAGTGCCCTCCTTTTTAGCTCTATTGAAAAATGAGCTAGACAGTCACACTACTGAGGAGTAAAACAACTGAATTCAACCCCCGCCAGGAACTGCAGCTTTGTACCCATTACAAATCTCTGCCCCTCCCTTCTCCTGCTCCAAGTCTCTGATAACCACTATTGTAACTTCACATTGGATTAGTTAATTGTTTATTAATTGTTTATTATCTAATTGAATGTGAGTAAACTTGAGTTTATTATCTAAACCCAAGTTAGACAGTAAGCCATAAATATATATTACTGACATCACAATCGCCTCCATTTATAATCAATTACTGAACAAATTGTACCAAACATGTGTACTTAAAATCCAAAGGAGAGAGACACTGATGTGATCGATGGAAGGACTACTGATGAGTAAAATCCCAAGTTAGATCTTATAGGATGAATGCATCTTTCCTGGATTAAAAGAAAGGAAAGGATATTGCAAACCTAGGAATAAACTGAGCAAGTTATGGCATTTGGAAAGGTAGGCCTATTTAATTGGCAGCGAGTAGGTCCTCTTGGCTGGAGCAGATTCATCTTGTTTAGATCAATAGAGGAGATAATAAGATTAACCTTATAGGTTAATGGTAGAATTTGGTTGTAGAAGGAAGTTTGAGGACAAAGAAGAATTTTCCAGTGAAGGACAGGTCTATCTAAGATTGCAGGGTCATCCTCAACACCAACATCGTCACAGGGAAGTCTTGAATTGCATGGACCATGAGTAGATAATGTCTGACATTTTTCTCATGTTTAGATTCTGTGGCTTACCTCTAGAAGGCCTGCCAAGGGGATAATGGGCTTTAATGATTTCATCACCAAATAACCATGAGTATGTTCCTCTCTCTGTTTAGTGGTGCATATGGTGAGTATATCGTGTGGATGGACAGAAAGGCTGCTAGATTCCCCCTCCAATATCACTTTCACCTGAATGGCTGTGAAGATTTAATGATTTAATTTCTATAGAAGTTCTTTGTAAATTGTCACAGGCAGTGTCAAATTGAGATTGAGGAGCATAGAATACAATTGACATTTTTGACTTACAATCAGTTGTGGCAACAAGGCAATAGACAGAGCTAGACTTTGACCTCCAGGACTCCTCTTTTCCATACCAGTGCCATGCATAACACTGCCTCCATTTTTAAGACAACTCTTCATTTTTTCTCTCTTTAGTGGCAAATACTGTGTAAGTAACTCCCCTTCTCTCAACTTCGCTATGAAGCAGATATTACTGCTACCACATTTCCCAGATGAGGAAAGTGATACTGAGATAAGACAGGTAAACAGCCCAAGGTCACACATCTTTAATGAGCAAAGGCAGGCCTTGACCCTAGCCCACCTCTGCGAGATGCTAAAATCTGGCTACAAAGTCTTGCTAAAGGATTTCTAAGCCTACGCCACACAGGCTTTGGAGTTAAAGGCTGCCTGCCTGCTGCTCCTTACTTGGGATTCAGGGTACCCAGGGCTCCCCACTATGGCTCTCTTGACCCCGATTTATCCCTGTGCCCCCTAAATGCCCTTTGCCTTTTCTTCTTAGTTAACTGTGTGCACCTTTGAAAATTTATATAACTATGTCTTCTTGTCACTAACAGAAAAGCTACAGCTATAAAATGGAACTTTCTGGAATGAATGGTTATATAATGATGCTCTGTGAAGGAAAAAGATATAACTTTCCTAAGGGTAGCTTTTGGTTTCGACCCATTTATGAAGTTCCCTCAGACAAGTATCTCAAATGCTTTGTACCTCAGTTTCTTCATTTATTAAAGAAGAAAACATTGGCTGCCTTCTCTGTTCAGGAGGGCTGATGGGAGGATGAAATCAGATAGCTCAAAATGGAGAAAACAACTAAATTATAAAGCTCCAAACAAATGGAAAGCATTGTTACTTGGCAGGAAGCTTTGCTTGTAGAGAGTCACGTTAACAAGGACTGTGGCAGGAGAATGGCGTGAACCCAGGAGGTAGCGCTTACAGTGAGCCGAGATAGCGCCACTGCACTCTGGCCTGGGCAAAAGAGAGAGACTCCGTCTCAAAAAAACAAAACAAAACAAAACAACAACAACAACAACAAAAAACAAGGACTGAACCCATATTGTAGTGATGACACTGACTGCTGGAGTAAGCTTGTGCATGTCCCTTAAAGTCTCTGAGCTTCAGTTTTCTAATCTGAAAAACAGAGAAACAGAGTTTCTCGCAGGATTTCTGTGAAGATTAATTAGGGTTTTTCTTAGAACTTAATTGTTTACAAATCATTCTAATATTTACCACAATTGATTATTGATTGGAAATAACACATTAGAACATCTGTAAAATGCAAATAAATATACAAAAAGGTTAGAGATCAGTATGGTTTGCTGAAACAACTTCAGGTAACTGGGGGCTTTTGTAGGCTGCCAAGCAAGCCTGTATAGATCATGGCATAATCAGCCTAAACGGTCGTGCTCCACAGTCTGAGTCAGAACAAGTCTGAAGTCTAAGACACAGACTTTTCTTCCAGTTGTGGGGGGCGTTAAAAAGACTTGGTGCATAGAAGGACGGTTACTCTTAATAATAATGTCTTCATCAGAGCATGTGCTAGGCAAGTCCCTGCTGTCCCTACTGTCCAGAGGAGGGAGGGAGAAGTGGGGAGCTACCTTCGTCCACTCAGCCCTTCCATCCTTGGGAGAGCGCGTGCAGCAGTGTCTTGCTGTGCAGGCTAAGCTGGGCAGCCCAAGCACTTGGAATGAGGTCAAGAACTTTTCTGACTCCTTAGGTACCTGCTTCCGTAATTTTTGTCTGCACTTGAGACTTACTCAGTGGCTGTGGCCTGGAAACTTTCTGGCTAGCAAAGAGATGGGCTTGTCCCTGAAATCCAGGTCCCAGAAATAATTCTGGTGAGAGCTATCTTTTTCAAAGCAAAAAGCAGCATAAAAAAGGTAAACAGGTTATCCTTGGGCTTAATATGGGCCTCGGAATCAAGTATACAAAACCCAGCTTTACTATTCAGTGTCTTTATATTTCTAGGCACATGACATGGTCTTCTTCAATCTTGGTTTCATCATCTCTTTAAAGGGGATAATAATCCCAGCCTTTCTAGTTCATGGTAATTAAATATTATTAAAAGAGATAATATATAATGAGGTGAGCATTGTAATGAACACATACTAAATGTTCAAATATGAAAGCTATTACTTTAATGTTTTTTCATCTTTTAGGAATATAGACAAAAACATAACATATGTATTATGCCTTTGCCTACTGTGTCAAAGCGAAGGCCTTTATTTAATGCTGAACTTAGGCAAGGCAGTTTGCTGAAGCTCTGGTGAATACAAATAAATTTACTTAGTAACCCTTGTCTTTAAATAGCTTCCAAACCGGTAAAATACAGCAGGAAAAAAATGAGTCGCAAAAGGCAGTATAGGGGCCAAATGAACAGTCAAGATGAAAAGTGCTACAGGAACTGAGATGAGAGAGAGAAATGATATGGGAAAACATTTAACAGAGAATCTTTTCTTGTTTTATTTAGTCCATCCATCTGCCAGTCAGCCTGTCAATTATTAATATTAGTGAACGCCAATATTGTTCCAAAAGCCATACTAAAGGTAATGTTTGAGTTGGGCCTTAAAAGGTAAATAGGAAGGGTATGGAGAGGGTAGAGAAAGTGGGATTAATTTCCCTATGTATTTAATTGGGTGTCAATGTAAATTTAAAAAATCATATTCAATTTTTCCTTAGCTGTAGATGTAACTACTTGCTGATAATTCCCATATGTTTGTCCTCATCCCGAACTCCTCTCTCTGACTCTGGGAAAGTAGTTCTCTCCAGATATGCTAATAATATCTCAAATTTAACACATTCTTACATATATTGTGAGCATTGTCTTTTCATAAAAAAATGAGCACTATGTTAGCTCCTGTCTCAACTAAGGTCATTACTATCTATTAGGAGAAGATTTCTGCCCTGGTCCTGAGTGTCTTTGCTGGGTATGCAAGAGTACCCAAAGGCCTAACTGTTCTTTAAACCAGAGTCATTTCTACTGCTAGTCATATAGATGTTTAAGCAGGCCAAGATGACTGCAACATGATGCAGTATGACCACCTACTCCCCAAAGACTGGGGACTGTCCTATTTAGTGCTTGCTATAAAATATACTGGGCCCTTAGCCCTGGGTTCTTCAGCTGCAATGCAACCCACCGAGTGTGTAGCTGCAATCTGGACCCATCACATCACTCTGTGGGCCTTGGGGCCAAGGGAATTGGTACTACTATGCCAAGACTCCTATTCATTGCTGCTGTGCAATGATTAATATCCTGTCTTGTATTGATCCACTGAGTCTCATTGTCTGCTTCTGCTCTGTATTATTACTCCTTGCTCTATGAAATTGTTTTTTTTTTCTGATACCATCCAACCAATATTCCAATTTCTGCACCTCAAAAATTACCTCTCTCTGGACCTTGCAACCGTGCTGTCATAAGATCAGAAAATCAAAACCCCGCCACTCCAAAGATACATTCTCTAGCTTTTTTCTCCACAGATTTCCTAAATTTATTCCTTTTATCTGAGGACTTATTCATCTCAGACAGGTCATCTTATAATTTAGTGATTGCCTGTTTAGGGTTGAAGTAAGAGAGCCTGGATTTGAATCTAAGCAGCACTACCTGAAATCGTTATGATTTGAATGGCTTCTTAATATCTTAGTGACTTGTTCTCCTCTGATATAAAAGTAGGCTAGTAGTAGTAACTAACTTATGGGGTTGCATGAGTATTATGTGAGTTAAAATGTGTAAAGCACCTGTGACAGTGCTCAGAAAATCGTAGGGGCCCCGTAAATGTTAACCGTCATCATTATTATTTTCATCATAAACTTTAGCCTTATGGCATTTTAAACACCAAGGCGTAGTCTTCAGAGCCATATCTCTCAAATGCTTGAAGGTCTTTCTACTGGTTTAACAACAGGCACAAAGGCAAATTCTCAATCTTTGGCTTTTAAAGATCTGAAGTCATTCTACTTTCCCTTTGATAATCTCTATCTAATGCAACATAAATTATGTTGAACATGCCTTTCTTCTTCAAAAACAACACATCCTTTTATTTCCTTTTCATTGAACTTCTTCCTAGTTTTCTCAGGTTTTTTTTTTCTTCCTTCATTTTTCTGTATTTATATTTCTTATTGTCCTTAAATGACTATGCCTATTCTATGTCTGAGCACAGTGAATAAAACATTAAATTTAATTAAAAATTTAAGAAAGAGAAGGAATGAGAAAGAAAGCACTAGAAATACCAGTTTCAAAATTTTGTGCATTGAGAAATCATTATTTCCAAAAGATTTTCTAAGGGCCACTGTCCTTATGACAATTCAGTGTTCTATATATGTTCACAGGTTATTTTTTTATCTTAGGAGAAATAAAAATCCTTACTGGATAATCCTTATTTATGCGTGTTTTTAAACATACTCATACTTCCCTCTATTGTTTGTTTCATAGAGAGCACAAATCAGATTTGGATATCTTATCTGGGATTTAAACAAATACGTTTATACATGAGTCTATCAAAATCCTTATTTACATATAAGAAAAAATATATGCTCAGCTTTGCCCAAGAAAGTCCCAGTTGATGCCTATAATTCTGGTTTAATTATTAATAGCTCTCATTTCAGTCTCAAAAGTATCTCCGTTTTGATGGTGAATCATATTGGCATCCTAGTTATAAGAAAGTTTTATGACTGAGGTTGTACAAGAAATCAAAAAGTTGCAATCAACTATTATTTACATGGTATAAGATATGCAGATGATCCACCAAAAGCATTTATTGAGTGTCCTCTGTGTGCTCAGCTTAGTATTACATATTCCTTTGAATGACGACCTGACAGGGAGATACCCTGACCTGTGGACTTTCTCTTTCTGTTTTCACCTTCATCTGGGGCCATTTTACCCAACCTGGAGATGTAGGATCATAGAATCTCAGGTTAAAGAGTTCAAAACAATTCTTGTGGTTCTGATTCTCAGATACCTAACTTGGACTTTTTTTTTTTTTTTTTTGAGATGGAGTCTCGTTCTGTCACCCAGACTGGAGTGCAGTGGCGTGATTTCGGCTCACTGCAAGCTCTGCCTCCAGGGTTCACCCCATTCTCCTGCCTGAGTAGCTGGGACTACAAGTGCCCACCACCATGCCCAGTTAAATTTTTTTTGTATTTTTAGTAGAGATGGGATTTCACCATGTTAGCCAGGATGGTCTTGATCTCCTGACCTCGTGATCTGCCTGCCTCGGCCTCCCAAAGTGCTGGGATTACAGGTGTGAGCTACCACACCCAGCCTAACTTGGACTTTCTTAAAGGAAAAAGGAAAAGCTCAATGCTGCCTCATTTCAGGAATAGTTGGATTTGTGTGTTCAAAAAATGTCATCAGGAGCTATCTCTACCTCTCAGTTTTGCTTTCAGCTATGTTGGTTTCATTCTCAAAATGGCTTTCTCCTTACAGAGACCCTGTAAGATCCAGGCTGACACTCTTGTAGCTACACATCCTTTAGTGAGACTACTTTGGTTGACACCAGCAACCCTCAAAATTCATTTTGACGAGATGGTTTTTGGGTTATGAATCTGCATGTAAGTAGGAGGCTTGGAGATTGAATAGGTGGATCATCTAGGCCTGAGTCATATATAGACTATATATAGATACAGAAGAAGCTGGAATGAACCAACCCAAACCACATGAACTGATATTGGGAATTGTTTTCTAGGAATAGAGAGGAGCTTTTACCAGAAAACACCTACAGAATGGCAAAACTGGAAATCACAGTCCACTCAGGTTCACCATGGTCAACCAACTGCAGATTAATTGCTCATCATTTATTTTCTTCATAAAATAAATGTTTATTTTTAATCTACAGGCTAAGATGGGTTTATTTTTTGGTTCTTGTAATTGAACATGTGTCTGTGCATGTGCCTGTGCACATCCTTTCTTTTTTTTTAATTTTTTGTGCATGACTCCTCTTTAAAGAATAACTAAGGGTACCAGGCTTCCTCTTCCTCTATCTTAAGACTCTTCATCTCAAAGCTTTCTCCAACCAACCATGGACAGGGGAAAACTATGAAGAATTCGAATATGCATGAGTGAGTGTTATGGGACGGGCCCGGATGCGCATATATGACTTCCACCTACATTTCATTAGTCAGAACACAGGGCCATAGTTGAACACAACTGCAAAGGGAACTAAGAAATGTAATTTATCTCTGAGCATAGAGGAGCTTAAACCTAATTCCCTGAATCTAATAAGTGGTTCCATTTTGTTTCCTGGGGTAAGGGAAAAAAAGTCTATGTCCGCATGCAAGAAAATGAGCTTCTTGCCTTGTTCTCTGTGCCTGAATCCCAGCTTTTATAGGGTTCCAGTATTTTGAGACATAACATTCTGATACCTTTAGAAAGATCCCTTAGCCACTACTTATCCAGGGATCAGCTCTTAGATCTCTGGTTTGCAAACTCCCAGCCAATCCTTGTCCTGTCCTGGAGGACATTCTCCAGGCCAGTAAGACTCTATTATGACATCCCTAACCTTATCACAACTCCATCCCCAAACTGACCACAGTAACTCTTATTGTGTTGATTGCTCTTTACCAACTTGTTTTTACTGCAGGAGCCATTAGCATTTACTTTCCCATGTTCAGCAATTTTTATGGCATTATTTCCAGCCGTGCTTTAGGTAACAGTCTGTCAACCCCTTGATAACAATCCCAATTTATCGCTAAGTTGTAAACATTGTCTCCAAGCAAAGATTGGCCTATAGGGTCTAAGCCCTGAAGCAATTTTATTTTTACAAATTCTAAATAAAACTTATGTTACTCAGAAGGTAATTCTGGGTGGGTCATGAGAAGAAGAAAAGGATTAAAACGTGGAGGAGAAGAGGGGAGGGAAAGGGGAGAGAGAGAGGAAGAGGGAGAGACAGAGAGAGAAAGTGAAAGGAAAAACTATCTGCAAAGCTTTGGAGTTCTTTCAAAGAAGAAATAAGAGAAAAAATATGTCACCACCTGTCAGAGGATAAAAGAAAGTAAAAGAATAAAACAGGTAAAACAATAAGATAGAGAGCCAAGAAAGCACAAACAAGGGGCAGGTTATAACTGAAAAAGTGTGTAGAGAAAATATTATGGAAAGGCATAGGAGAGAGGCCAGATAAGGGGCCTGTTTGAAAATATGTCTCTGTTTCCCTGCTTTAAACTCCTAACCAGCCATCATAGAATTCATCAGCAAGCACTGAATGATCATGTACAATTTGCTGGGCACATGTGTTATGTGTGTTCCCACAGATGCATGTTTTAAGGTGTGTATCCCATTTGAGCAATGGTGGATAAGAGGCAGAAGTGGAACAGATTCTCAGAGGTACAGGCTTTCAGAAGAGGGAAAGATCTATGTCAGCTGGAGAACTCAGAAAAGGATTATTAAGGGGAATGAGGGTTCAGCTGATCTTAGAAGTTTGAGCATGACCAAAACATAGAGATAAAGGCTGAGATCACTCTTAGTAGGAAGAGAAGAAGAAGGACATGTAAAGGCTGGACTTAATCAGGAAATCTGTAGTACGGGAACTGCAGTTGATGGAAGGATTTGATGGAGGGAGAGAAAGAGAGAAAACAGAATCAGATTAGAGAAAGTAAAGGAAAAAGAGGAAAGAATAAGAAAATAAAATAGAGAGAATGGGGGCGGGTGGAGAATTTAAAAAAAGACAAACTTTCAGAGACTTACAGATTTTCTGGGTGTAGAATGATGTTGTTGGCCTCACAGGGCACTGCTAAGAAGAGCTGGCCCTGCTCTGAGGCTAAGCTTCTGTAACTGTCCACTTGGAGAGTTGTAAGCTGAGAAAGCACAGGCTGACCCTTGGTCAGATGTCCTGAATTGCAGTCAGGTTGGCAGTGAAGCCATGTGATAACCCTGAACATCACCAGCTGAAATGCCAGTGTTAAAAGAGAGACACAAGCCATTATCAGTCTAATTCCAACATCCTTACCATGTCTGTTTCAGATACATTCTGTCTATTCAAATTCTGTGTTTTTTTTTTGTTGTCGTTGTTGTTGTTTTTGCCTTTTAGTATGCTTTTGTATTCTGTTTTTTCTTAATAGGCCATGATATACCATGTCAAAGGGACTGCTCCAAATAGTCCTTTAGTAATGTGGCAATAAGTTGTGGATGTGGGAAGTATTCTACAGCAGGTCCTGAAATAACATCATTTCCTTCGACATCATTTTGTTATAAAACCTATGAGAAAAAAAATTAATTCCCAGCTGGGGTCACTGTCTATGTGGAGTTGGCACGTTCTCCCTATGTCTGCAGGTTTTTTCGCAGGTATTTTGCAGTTTCCTTCCACATCCCACAGCTGTGCCCCTGAGATGAACTGGCATGTCTAAACAGTCCCAGTCTTAATGAGTGTGTGGTGTGTGTGTGTGTGTGTGTGTGTGGATATGTGTATGAGTGTGTCCTGGTATGGGATGGCATCCTGTCCAGCCACCTGAGATTCTGAATTAGAATAAAGGAGTAAATAATTATCTTGTTTTTATTAATCTTTGGGAAATGTACGTATAGCTCATATTTATTTTACTGTTTAATATTAGAAGTGTTTTGGGTTTTATTTAGAAGTTTGAGGATGTTGTTATGACCAGAAATATGCCATAGGAACTTAACTCTTGTTTATGTCAATTAGCCTGAAATAAAATTGGTGTCTTTATAGTCTGTTCACTTAAAGTCACAATTTTCAAGAACCTATCTGTGACTTTGATGACATACTGTATAGTTCTCTGATTAGGTTAGTCTTTTGGTAAGCATATGTATGCCTCCGGACTGAGATTTTACGTGTATTTCTCATTGTTTTTCTCTCCCCCTAGGTGGAGCAGAGTGGCTGGAGTGGGCTTGATTTGTGTGTTTCCCTTCTCATTGGAAGGCTAGACCTGACTGGAGTTGAGTATTTCTCTTCCCCCAGGTCAGTTAGGCTGTGATAATACCCCAGCAGCTTAGGTTCTGGTTAACTAGTTTCCCTTGAGTGCAGTCCTCTTTAAGAAGAACAGAGTGTTCTGCTGTATTTCAAAATGGTTCCTTTTCCCCTCCCTCTGCTGGAAACCCAAGGGGATTTTTCTCTGATATTTACTGTAAGAACTGGGTTGAGTGCCTGGAGGGAAAACTCACAAAAGTGGAGGGTGGGCAGTGTGATTGGTCTCTCTGGAGTTTTTAACTCTCATGCTTGTTTGCACTGAGCCTCCAGCAATTCAGCAATTTGTCAATTACTGTTCAGATGCTCCTACCCCAGCCCTGGTTCTCTTGGCAGTTTCCACCGTGCATTTCTGCTCCAGTAAGCCTTCATTCCCTGTAGTTGCCTGTCTGTCTCTCCAATCCTGGGGACAACAGCGGTTTGCCCTGTGTTCTACCCTTTCTTCCTGATCCAGCAAGAGTTTGTTTTTCCATCCATTTAGCTTTTTACTTGTTAGAATAAATTGATGACTTCTAAGCTCTGTAGGTGTGGAACCAGAAACAATAAATGCAACCGAAGACTTTAAAATTGAATTTTACCAATGTATACCCATACCAGCAGTGAGTGTTCCAGATACCTTCCTCCTTATCACTACTTAATATTGTCTGTCTCTATCATTTTAGTGATTTTGGTGGGTATGTGTAGAATAATTTCACAGTGCTTTTAATTTACACATCACAGATAACTTAGAAATGACCATATTTTTTATGTGATGCTTGTCATATCTTCTGTGAAGTGGTGGTTCAATTATTTTATCAATTTTCTATTGGGTTTTAGCCTTTCAATCATTAATTTGAAGTTATTGTCATATGATTGTTATTTGATTGGTATATGTTCGTAATTGAATATATGTATTGCAAACATTTTCTCCTTGTCTGTGGTATCCTTGTTCATTCTCTTAATAGTGTTGCTTAATGAATAAAAGTTCTTAATTTTAATGAAATGTATGATTAATGTTTTATTTTGTGGTTAGTACTCTTTGATATATATATTCAGGTAATCTTTGTCTTCCCCAACATAATATTCCTCAATTTTCTAAAGAAGATATACTTTTAAAATATTTAATTTATGATCATTTTCAAATTGATTTTTTAATGTGTGGTGAAAGGAGGGATCAAGGTTATATCGATAGATAGGTGTATATATAATACATATAGATACAGAAAATGACCTAGTAACAGTATTAAAAGGCTTTCCTTTACTCTCGGAATGTCTCTGTTAATTTACAAAATTATTAATTTTAATATAGTCCCGTTTATCAATATTTTCTTTGTTTAAAACTTTGTGGAAAAAAATGCCAACCTCTGTGTCACAAATATATACCCCTATGCATTTTTAAAGAAAATTTAATATTTTTCATTTATAATTTACATTTGCAACCTAACTGGAAGTGAGTTTTTATTTTCTGGTAGAAAGAAGTATATATGTCTGTATATGTGTACGTGTGTGTATGTTTGTCCCAACATGGATATCCCACTGATCAGCATCCTGTATTGATATATTCATCCCTTCCCTTTTATACTATAGAATTCTCTTTTGCACTATAGGGAGACCATATACATGTGGGTCATTGCTGACTTTTCTACTGTGTTTGAATGTTCTATTTGTCAATCTTTGTGCCAGTACCACACTGTTGCTATTATACTAGCTTATATTTAAAAGTTTTTTTCCCGTAGTGTAAGTTCTCCAGGTTTGGTCTTCCTGAAGATTGTCTTGGCTATTTTTTCCCACTATGAAATGCCATGTGTATTTTAGAATAAACTCATCACTTTCATAACACCATGATATCTATAATGTGATTGTATTGATATTATAAAAATTTGAGAGAAGTTGAAATATTTTCACAATAGTGATTTTTCCAATCCATGTAAAAGATAAATGCCCACATTAACATAACTTTAAATATTTTAAAGCAATCACATGTGATTTTTTGCATACTGTTGGATACTTTAACGAAGATTTATTCCCAAATATTTGATGACTTTTATGCCATTTGAAATAGTATTGATTTTTAAAGTTTCTGGTTATATTTCTTTGTTGCTGATATATAAACTGACTTTTATATATAAACCTTGCTGCCTTGCTAAATTCATTTATTAATTTAATATTTTTATGTAGGTTTCTTTTAGATATTTTAAGGACATATGCATCATTTGAAAAAATTGAGATATTTGTTTTTTCAAATTTTTGTAAATTCATGCCTTTTATTTATTTTTTCTTATCTTATTGAAATGGTTAAAACCTCCAGTAGGTTAAACCAAGGTGATTATAGAGGGCATACATTTCTTTGTCCATAACTCAGCAGGAAATCATTTAATATTTCACCACTCTTAATGATGGCTGATCATATTAAGTACTCATTATATTTAATATCAATATAAATCTGAAATTATCTTTCATTACTTAATCTATATTTTTTGTTGATAAGTCTTGATGGGGAGTATAATTTTATTATTGTTATCAAAGAAACAACTTATTTTCTCTATTTATTTCACCAAGCAAATGTTAAATTTTAGTATCATGATAGCTTCATAAATTTCTTATTTTTTGTGTGATTTTGTTTGTTTGTTTGTTTTAATTCTAGCTTCTTACAATGAATGCTTTACACAAATCCATGGCCCCATAACATATTTCTACCATACCAAATGGCTGAGTGCCTTCATTTCAGAGTTGTCCCAGTCCTAAATGTCTGCTGCTAGAATTTTCTAAGTAGATGTCTTGCCTGCACCATGGCCTTCTATGCTATCCTTTCTAGACCTTAAAACTGAACTTTCAACCCCTTCGTCTGGGTGTGTACTCAGGACCAAAATGTGGTTGTAGGTTCAGAACATCCTAGACCATTCTGCTGAAATCTTAAGTTCTACCCATGCCCTCTGCACAAATTTATTGCAATTATCATATTAGGAAGGCAGATTGTTAGCTCTACTCTCTGTTAAACATAATACCCATTTAGCTCTGCAGACAATGAACTTCTCTATGAGTCTGCATGCACGCGCGTGCACACACACACACACATACACACACAGCTAACTGAGCAGACTGCTGATTCCTCAGGATACACAATGAATAAGTTAATGTCTGGCTCAGAGGAGGTACTCCAAAATACGACGAAGAAAGAGTGAATGAATGAATTTGAAAGTACCTGTTTACATCATGACTTATTGATTTATTCATCAAATACATAGTGAATGAGTAATAATAGTTTTGCAGCTTCAGACATGAAAGTAGTGGAAAAAGGTAAAGCATGTATAAATAGGCACAAGATACAGGTTTTCTTCAATTGATTTACTATTCAAGGAAAAGAAAATGAAAAAATACATGGCAACATGAAAACACTGTCATATAAGTGTTGTAAAATATGGAGTATGGCAATAAGTTAATTCACTTAATGTATAAAATATTGCATTTAATCAATTTGTGTTAAATTCCCAATCTACTCCAAAAATTGTGCCAGTTGCTGTTAGAGAAAAGATGCAAAGTACAGAGATATCAGTGACACAATCCTTGGTCCCCAATGGCTTAGAATCAAATAAGGAAGAAAATGCATTTAATATATAAACACTAAGGTATTTGTAAAAATGTGGTTTATGTATGTCTTATGCATTACATGCTAGAATATATCCATTGCTTCATTAATGCAGTCAGCATCCGTTAAGGCCCACCATACATTGGGTATGTGTGGTTGTACTAAGATGTGCTAGACTTCGAAGGCAATCAAGCAATATTTCTAGGAGGCAACATTTAATAAGGTAGGATCGAAATAAGCAGAATGGTCAAGGCATTTGAAGTAGAATAAATGGCATAAGTAAAATTTCAAGGACAGGAACAAAAAATACCTGGGCACACATATTGTTTAATTTGGATGAGAAAGAATTATAAAGTAGACAGTAAGAAGAGGAGATTGGGGGTAAGGAGAAAGAGTTAAAGAGTTTCTTAAGGTCCCAGCCTTTTCACCATTATAGAAAGACTCACTTTAAGGTTCATCTGTAGGTTCATTCATGGCATTTAGCATTCTCAGATGAGTTCAATTCAACACAACACAGTGAAATTCAATACAAATTGATTGAATGCAAGATTTTATACATTAAGGAATTAACTTACTGTCATGATGCATGTTTTATACCACTCATTTAGCCATTTAGTGTTTGGTATTCTTCAGACCAGTCAGCTGATCTGTAAGCTGGGTTATGACTCAGAATTTCACTCACAGCTACACAAAGTGAAACAGTTACTCACAGAAATTTGAGACCACACAGTCTCCATTCTGTCAAGGAGGTTCTCTCTGGGCTATTAGTTGCTCAGAGAATCATATTCCCTCCATGTGATCAGCTCTTATTGATGGCAAAAAAGACAAAGCAGAATACTTTTTACGATTAGAACCTCAAAAGGAGCCCGTAAGTGTGTGCTGTGTCGGGAGACAGGCTTGAGTGGGATAACAATGACTCTGGATAAGAATGTAGATGACAGTCCATCCAAGAGAGCACATTGTCTGTTTTCTCTCCGATTTTTGGCAGCCCGTGGGTGGGTACATGACCTCAGCAGAGAAGCACACAAAATTGATTTATAAATTATTCATATATCATGTTTTAATTCTAAAAGCTGGATATTAACTTGACTAATTGGCTCTCAGTTGGAAAAAAAAAGAATTATGAGATACTAGTTTCATATTTATTAGCCAATTGTAAGCAATAATTTCAGCAAAACCTAACTCAGAAAAATATATTAAACGTTCAAAATCTTTATTAATATGTATTTTATTCTTTTAAATTATTTGACTGCATAATTATTATGTATACTGAGAGAAAATAAAAAACTCAAGCATGAAGAAGAAAATAAAAAATATTCATAAATCTACCATCTAAAAAGCGTTGTAAATTTTTCTATGTAAAACTACATATTTTTCTCCAATTTTTTTTCTCAAAAATGGGCTTATAATATAGTATCCTGGAACTTTTGAAAGCAACTAAATAAGATAATACCTTAATAGTTTTATCATATTGCATCACATAGATGTGTCATAATTTATTTAGCCAATTACTTATTGTTGAACATTAATGTTGTTCAAAATGTTCCAATACTATAAACAATGTAGTAATGAACATTCTTATATTTGTAGCTTTGCACAACTCTCCAACTATATACTTAGAATAAAATATAGGGTGTACTCAACCAAGAGGTGTAACACATATATTTTACTCAAAATTTCAGCTAATTATTTCCATCCTTTTTATCATATGCTAAGTCTGTAGCTTAACTTATGTCATGAGTTTGTATACAGATATATAAAAACATGAAGTAACTAAAATTTAACAAATACAAAGCAAAATTCTACTTCAATTTTCTTATCAGGTTGTGAATAGACTTGCTGAATTAACTTCTAATATTCATCTTCTTTCTTTGGTAAGTTGATGAAATGATCCCTATTTTAAATAGCTGCTGAAATAACCAATGCTTGTGAAAGTGTTTGTATATAAAGAGCTTTTGAAAAAAAACATGGAAAAATTTTTATCTATGCTTAGACTGCATAGGACTTGTGACTCAGTTTTAAGAACTGCACATGAATTTGAAATTGCTATTTGAGATATAAACAAAAAACTCACCCAGGACCAATGAATTCTTGGATTCCTGGCAGAAGAAATTGTAAGACTTCTCAGTAGAGACACACGAATGCATGGATCAGCCATAGGAAAAAATAACTCTACATAAGATGAGATTTAAAATAATATAAACTAAAATTTACAGGATGTAACTGATACAGGAGGGGGCAGGGAAGTGCTGGTAAGGGAAGGGCGTGGTCCTTGGTTTGGGGTCCACCCCGGGGCCTGTGCCCACGGACCTAGGTGAGGACAAGCATTTATGTTTTCCTGCCGAAATGTTGCGTTTCCCAAGACCACCTGGCCTGCCAAGGTGGTTTAACATCTTCCAATAATTTGACTTCAGTATTCCCTGCTGGTTCCTTCTCACATACACACTGAAGAATGCTTTCTCAGCCTGATTTCCATGTCTGAGTCACGTGCAGTCCATTTTAATGTCAACCCCATTTGTGTCCCCAGCATCAGCTCCTGAGCTACTGCACTTCTCCAGTGCTTAGGAGTTTAGCTCATTAGGTGCTAAATTACTAGCACCAGAAAGTGACAAGTTTCACTTTGCAAACTTTTACCACCATAAACTCACTCAATAAAAACAAAAGAAGCCATAGAGAAGCAGGGTTTGGGGGATCATAAAAAAAATATATGTTTCAGGCAGTTTGTATTTATCCAAGTGGCAGCATTGAGTTAATGCTAAGGAAGTAGACAGCTTCAGTTAATGAGATGTATTATTTAGGGAAAATAGAGCTGTCACTATTTCTTGCCATGTAAAGCAGTGGATTTGTTACTTTTGAATGCTGGCTGCATTAACCAAAACATCATTTATTCCTATTGAGATGTTCCCCCAGAGCTGCACTTTGGTTAATAAAGATAAACCTTCATGTTGGTTGTCAAACGATATCTTCCCATCCTAGGAACCCTTCCAACAGCAACCTGGGCACTTATTCCCTGAAAAGATTTGCTTAGTGTAAGATCTTCATGTGTATTTCAGAGCTTCGGTGGATTCCCTTAACTGACCTCTGGAGCACTTTCTGTGACAATGTGAGATCTATACCTGTGTGGTTTGCTGAAGCATGAAATCTAAAGAAAACCACAAACGAACAAAAAATTTAAGAATTTCAGCCCCATAACAAACTTGCATGTTTTCATTGGACAATTATCCAGCTTCCAGTCTCCCTCTCTCCTCTTCCTAGCCAAACTTCCCCAGATGTCTCTTCCCCTTCCTCACCTCTCTCTTGCTCCCAAACCACTCTATTTTAGCTACAGCACCATCACTCCACCCCAAGAAGTTTTACTATAGTCAAGAATGGGCTCCACGTAACTAAACCAATGAGTAGTTTCAGCTGTCTTCATTTTTCACCTATTATAAGTATTGGACACTATTGATACATCCTGCTTCTTTAAAAGCTATATCCAGTTAGTTTCCATGATTCTATACTATTCTAGTTTCCTTCTTATCTCTATCGCCAAGTTTATTCCTCTTCACCCACAGTCATTAAATGCTGCTGTCCCTCAAGGCTCAGTATAAGCTTTGATCCTTCCTCTTTCTATCATCTCTCTCTAGAAGACCTCACCTACAGCTACAGCCTTGAATGCCCTCTTTTTGCAGGCATCTCACAAACTGGCCCGCGACTCTAACTCAGACATCTCCCCCAAACTCTGGACTCACTTAACCAGCTAAACCTTTGACATCTCCCAAAAGATGTCTCATAATCTTCATCAGTTCCCAAAATGTCTAGTCTAAATGGCTGAGTTTCTTTCCCAAGCATGAACCTCCTCCAAAATCACTATGTATTCTTCTCCCTCAAACCAGAAACTTACGTGATATCCCGAAAATAGCCCCCCTTACGTTTCATATCAAATTTATCATACATATTATCTATTTTTCCCCTTAAATATTGTTCATATCTATCCACCTTTTTTTTCATTTTCATCCCTTAATTTAGGGCCCACCATATAACAGGAACTCAATATTTAAATTTTGAATTAAAGAATCACTAACGTCAACACTCTAGTAAAAGCCTAGCCTGCTGCAAGAGCTTCTGAATTGATCTCTTCAGTCCAGATTTACCCCAATACAACAATTCTCCACTTTCCCAATTAGCTGGAAGCTTTATGCACACAACAAAAAATAGGGTTGTCATTCACTTTTTCCCACTGTAAATGAAATGTTAATCTTCAAGAACCACATCAATTATCTGAGCTCTCTCTTTATAGGCCCATCACATCCCATGCTCTGTCATTTCCCTCATTGCAACAACCACCAGGCTGCTTTAGGCCCTTTCCACTCAACATACTCTCTACAGACATGGTGTCCTCTCTCTGGTCCAGTCCTCTACTCCACCCCAATCACCTCCTAATTGATGCTTACTCATCCTTTATATCCAAGCTCATTTCAGCCCATTTCTTCAGAAAAATTCGTAACAACCTCCCTGACAGGATCAATCATTTCTATGATGTGCTATAAAAGCACAAAAATTAAATGCTAACTTGTTAGAATTTTTCTTTATTTGTAACTACATTTAAAATATATTTCTGAGAGCACAAGTTCATTAGGACAAGGATGTCTTCTTATATTCACCATTGTTTCCCCAGAAACAAATAGCTCAATATGTTTAATTTTACATGTATATGTATTTTATATGAATATGATTTGGCTTATGTAATATATGTGTGTGAATAAATATTTGTATATATTCTTTTTAATGTATATTTTATATATATATGTCTATCTATATTGTGGTTTTAGACAATTTTATGTCTCTGGGGCTCAATTTTCTCATTTATTTAATGGGGCCAAAATAATAATATCTAAAATCTTGCCTGTGTAGATGTAACAGAATAAAATATTAACAATTTTGACAAAACTGATATTAAAATAATAATTACATGGCAAAAAATAACTGTATACTCAAACTCAAAGCACAGCAGAAAAACTGTGAGATAATATTTGCAATATATATCACAGATAAAAATTCATGTCCTTAAATATAAAAAACTTTTTGAATGAGTGAAATATTATCAAAAATATAATAGCAAATGGGCAAAAGATATAAATGGATGGTTCACAAGAAGAATGTAAATACAAAAAAGACATTTAACCTCCCTCATAATGAGAAAAACGAAAATAAAACTGTACTGACTTACCCTTTCTCAAGTATCAGATAGGCAAAAATGAAAAAAATCATATGACAACATACTCAGTGAAGATGTAGATAATAGTCACTCTCATACAATTCAGTATGAAAAAACATTAGTAAGCACCTTATGAAAATGAACTAGAACTTGTCAATAACCTATAAAACTACATGTATGTTCACATTTCAGACCAGAAATCAATTTCTAAAAATTACTCCTGTAGATACATCTCCAAATATAAAAAAATACATATGTGTGAGGTTATTAATTACAGCATTGATTATAAATAAAAAATACTGGAAACAAACTGGGTGCTCATACATAGGAGGGAGATTCAGTAAACTAAGGTATATCCACAGAATGGACTCAATATATCCAGAATAGAATGATGAGGAAGAGAAAGATTTCTATGACATGGAGTGATTTTCAAGAAATACAGTTAAGTGAAAAAGCCAAAATAGAAAGATTAGAAAAAGCATACTGTTCTTAGCCAAGGGAATCCTAAACCAAAAGAGCAAATCTAGAGGCATCACATTACCCAAATTCAAATTACACTAAAAGGCTATAGTAACCAAAACAGCATGGGATTGGTGTAAAGGTAGATCCACAGACCAATGGAATAAAATAGAGAACCCAGAAATAAAGCCAAATACTTACAGCCAACTGATTTTTGACAAAGCACACAAAAACATAAACTTGGGAAAAGACATCTTATACAATAAATGGTTCTAGGAAAATTGGATAGCCACATGTAGAAGAATTAAACTGAATCCATATCTCTCATCATATACAATTCAAGATGGATTAAATACATAAATCTAAGACCAAAAAAACCATAAAAATTCTAGAGGAAAACCTAGAAAAAATTCTTCTGGACATTAACCTAGGCAAAGAAATTATAACTAACAACCTGAAAACAAATGCAACAAAAGCAAAAATACATAAATGGGACTTAAATTAAAATGCTTCCACAAGGCAAAAGAAAATAACCAACAGAGTAAACATGCAACCTACAGAATTGGAGAAAATATTTTCTATGCATCCAACAAACAATTAGTCCCCAGAATCTACAAAGAAGAACTTAAACAAATCAGCAAGAAAAATACAAATAATCCTATTAAAAGGGGGCAAAATACATAAGTAGACATATCTCAAAAGAAGATATGCAAATAGCCAGCAAACGTATTTAAAAAATGTTCAACATCACTAATCATCAGAGAATTGCAAATTAAAACCACAGTGAGATACCACATTACCCCAGACAGAATGGCCATTATTAAAAAGTCACAAAACAATAGATAGTGGTGCAAAAGTGGTGAAAAGGGAACACTTATACACTGCTGGTGGGAATGTAAGTTAGTGCAACTTCTATGGAAAACAGTATGGAGATTTCAATTTCTCAGTGAACAAAATGTAGATCTACCATTCAATCCAGCAATCCCACTGCTGGGTAGCTACCCAAAGGACAAGAAGTTGTTATATCAAAAAAGATACTTGTACTTGTATGTTTATTGCAGGACAATTTACAATTGCAAAGACAAGGAATCAACCTAAATGCCTATCAACTGAAGAGTGGATAAAAAAAATGTGGTGTATATATATACCATGGAATACTACTCAGCCATTAAAAAAAGAATGAAATAATGTCTTTTGCAGCAACTTGCATGGAACTGTAGGCTATTATTCCAAGTGAAGTAACTCAGGAATGGAAAATCAAATATCACATGTTCTCACTTATAAGTGGGAGCTGAGGAATGGGTACAAAGGCATACAGAGTGGCATAATGGACTTTGGAAACTCAGAAGTGGAGAGTGGGGAAGGGGATGAAGGAAAAAAAACTATCTAAAGGGTACATTGTACATTACTCAGGTGATGGTACACTGAAATCCTAGACTTCATCACTATACGGTTTATCCACATAACCAAAAATCACTTGTAGCTCTAAAGCTAATGAAATAGAAAAGTTAAAATAAAAAAAACACAGAAAAAATACTAACAATCATGCAGTTTAAAAAGAAGGAAAAGTACTGAAATTCCTTGATTAATATCTATCTTTTCTGCTAGCCCATAAATTCTGTGAGAATGGAGATTTTCTCTGATTTGTTCACCACTTATGTACAGTACCTGAAGTATCATAAGTGCTCTATAAGTGCTAAAATAAATTGAAAAAAATGCAGATATGTGTTTCAACACATTCAAATACAATAAAAACTTCTATATATATAAAACATATGCTATTTTTTGTGTAAGAAAGATGGGGGAGTGAGAAAATATGGATGTATCTTTTTATTGTACATATAGGAAAGATTCTTTAGAGATTAATGAAATTGGTTAGTTACATTGCTTGGGTGAGAACAATGGAAAGAATGGAAGGAATGGGGATAGGGTGGAGAATGAAGCTTCTCCAAGCATACCATGTTGAACCATCTGACTTTTAGACCCCTGCTAATGTTTCAAATAATTAAATGAAGGGAAATAAATAATAAATAAAACAATATGTGGGGAAGTCTAAAACAAAATACAAACAGAAATGCATTTTTTAAACCATATTTGGAGAAGTCATGTAACCACACTGGAGGAAGAGAAAAAAAAGAACAAAATCAGGTAATTTTCAACAGCATTTAGATTACACACTTCAGGCCAAAGACAAAATTAACTTTGGAAATATGTTGGACTCTGGTTAGTAGGTTTCTTTTTCACAGATAGATGGGTTAACAGTTCTAAAACTACTTTCTGTGTATTCTAGATCTAAGCAAATAAGTAAATATATTGTAGATACTAGAAGCCAGATTTCTCATTGTCAGAGAAGGAAGCTTTAAATATGGAAATGCGGAAGGATAGTATGAATGCTCTAGTATTTGGAAGAATGAGTGTGAACTGGATTTTAATACACATAAATAAAGAAGTAGTTAAGAATGCTTTAGGCTGCATGTATATTCATACATATGTGTATGTTTGTGTAGGATTTTGTGTATATATATACATATATATCTTTAAATGTAAATCTGTTAAGAAATACATATAGATATAAACCTATGAGTGTATATGTATCCTTGTATATATATTTGTATATCTATATGGCTTCTAACTCTATCCACTGAGAGAGCCTAGAAGCGATAATACCCTAGTAGCAATGAGCATACCTAGTAGCCACATCTTGATTTCTAATCACATTTTCCACTTAAAAAGTCCAGACATTTTGGATAAACGGCTGATTTCAGGGATAGAGTGGAACAATAAAAGATGTACCTGAAATATTATTTTGTGTCATAACGTGATGAAGTGCTCAATGAATGCCAGTTCTGTGGGGCAACACTTGCTAAATCTGGGATCATTTGAGTATATTTAAACCCATGATAGTAAAAATTTTAATCCATACAATAAATTAATAACTCATGAGTCCATGTGCATAACAATAAATAAATAAATAAATAAATAAATAAAGCTCTTCTTTACAGCAGACATTAAAGTAATAAATGTAGGACTGATGGAATTAGAAAATCGAGTGGCAGTCATTATTGTAATCCTTGTCTGAGGCAAGACTCCTCAAGAGGTAATGAAACTGTTAAGTAAAATATTGACAAGTAACTATTTGAAAGGAAACTACATAGTTTCAAAATATATCTTTACAAGTTATTAATTAAAAAGGGGAAGCATAAGAACCTGTACCTTGGAGAAACCAAGTGATCATAGTGAATATCACCAGAAAGGTGGTAAGCCCACACCACGTTCCTCCGAACGTGATTCACCGAGAAGGACAGAAAAATCCCTTAGTAGAATTCCAGGCAATAATGATCTGAACCTAATCATTTAGAAGTATCAAGCAGGGAGTTGTGGCTCGTGCCTGTAATCCCAGCACTTTGGGAGGCTGAGGCGGGCGGATCATTTGAGGTCAGCAGTTCAAAACCAACCTGGCCAACATGGTGAAACCCTGTCTCTACTAAAAATACAAAATTAGCCAGGCATGGTGGTGAGTGCCTGTAATCCCAGCTACTCAGGAGGCTGAGGCAGGAGAGTTGCTTGAGCCTGGGAGGAGGAGGTTGCAGTTAGCAGAGATCGCGCCATTGCACTACAGCCTGTGTGACAGAGCAAGACTCTGTCTCAGAAAAAAGAAAAGAAAAGAAAAGAAAAGAAAAGAAATATCAGACAGGCCCAATTTACGTATATTCTACAAAATACCTGCATTTTATTTTTTTTTAATGTTAGTATCATGCAGTACAAATTTAAGAAGGCTTCTGGATTAAAGAAAATTAGGGAAACATGATAACTTTTTGCAACAAATAATCTGATTTTCCTCTGGAAATCATTGGAACAATGGTGAAACTAAAGAATGTTGCTTTAATATTAATTTTCTGATTTTGATAACTGTACTGTGGTTATATAAGAGAATAGTCTTACTTCTAGGAAATATACTGTAAAGGAACAAAGGGGCATCACATCTGTAATTTATTCTTAAATGTTTCAAAAAGTATGTACACGTGTGTCTGTGTGTGTGTGTGTGTGTAGATATCGATCGAGGCATAGATAGACACATGGAAAAGAGAGAGGAAGAAAACAGAAGGGCCTGTAGAGAGAGGAAGTGAGAATGAGAGAACGTTTTCATGTGAGTACACACAGGAAACAAAAAGCACAAGAGGAAATGTTAACATTTGGGGAATCTGGGTGAAGAGTATGTGAAGATGTCTTGTTCAATTCCTACAACTTTTCATAAGTCTGAAATCATGTCCAAATAAAGTTTAAAAGAAAATAAAACTTATAATTCTATGCATTAGTAAATAATCTTCTGGTCCTGGTCAAAGCCCAAATGGTAACATGATATGACTAAGATAAGACAATTTGTCAGAAGCAGAGCTACGTGTAGAACAAAGTCTCAGGTATTCTTTTTACTAAACAACAATCAACAAGTCATCAGTTTTCCAAGTCCTGTCTTCTTATGCCCAAAGCAGATATTGATAATCAGTTAATAGAGCCATGGCGCGGTCTCAGTATCCTCCTCAATTCATTGCTTCAGGCAACCTTTAAGATTGAAACCTATTTCCCATTCTAAATATCACACCTCGCTCCCTCGAATTCATACTGCAGTGGAACTATCTCACACCAGAATCTTTACAGAAGGTTGCTTTTTAGGTGGTAACAGAAATGAAGTACAAAATAAAATTTTCTACTTTGAAAGCAAGCTATGTGCTATAATTAAATAAATTTTAATAACTTAGGACTAATCTCTTCCTTGAAACAGAGTTCTTTTGGTCTGAATGCATGTAGACAACCCCTTGTTCCTTTTGCCGCAGCCGGGCGAACAGGGCCCTCACTTTCCCCACTAATGAAGCAGAAAGAGGAGTCTGTTAAAACATCCTTTCAGGTTTGGCTTAAAGTTCTAAGACATTAGCCATTGGTCATTGATCGTTGCACCTTCCTCCACCATAAACTCCACTTTGAGCCTAGAATGCTGCTTCAGAATCTCAGTGTAATGACCCAGATCATCATTTCCTATGTGAGTTGACACTGTGATAAAACTCACATGCTTTTACAGGGATTCCACCTTCCTAATTTAAAGTCACTATAAAGAGTAAATGACTTCTACCAGATTCTTTCATGGGATGTGGCTGGGGGTGAGGTCAATGAGAATGGGAGAATTAAGGTGGGAAAATAAAACACCTGAAGGACATTGTATGATTAATGGAAGGGAAAAGAAATCTGAGAGCTGAGCCTCAAGGTTTCAAAGTCATCCTCTGCTGATTTTCTAATATATCAGGGTGTCTGAGGTAGACAGCTGCATTTGCATCTTAAAGTGTAGGTCAGATTATGCCATCCTAAACTACGGTATATTTTTGCAGCATATTCTAGTCTCAAGCAATGGGTAGAGTTCCATTGCCCAGGTAGCCGAACATTAAAGGGATGTTTAAGAGTTTCTCTCTCTGCCTTTTTGAGAACCATGTTTTGGCACAGCTACCTCAATGACACAAGGCTATAGATTGATTACATGCATTTAGGCCAAAGGAATGCTATTTGCATGGAAGAGACTGGTCTTTAATTACTGAAATTTGTTTAATAATGGCATGTCTTTCAGGGGAACCAACATGTTTATGTATTAATCCTTTAAGTAGTAGTCTTGGTCCCTAACTTGGAAAGTGCAAATTGGCAACATTTAACTACTTCAATCCAATTCCCCAATCTCATTTCCCAAATTTTCTCCACTGAGAGCTGCCAGTGCCCCCAGGGTGCATATTTCACATAATTAAGCTTTATAGCTAGAGCCTGTTCTGAGATGGTCAGCTGCCTGAATCCCATTGAAAATGCAGACAGAACAGAAAGTGCAAGGCTGATTCACACTTTTGGATGCTCAGACATTGCCCTGGTTGCTCTCCGGTTTGAAACAATTGGAAGGGAGACTTTTATTCTGCATAGGAAAGACTCAGTCACGCCCCTGAGGAAGGAAGTCATCCTCTGGCTGGTACCAACACAAAATTGAACCAAGGGGCACATAAATTATCATTATCAAAGACGATCCTATATTTATAATAATTTCCTGTATCTTATTGTATTTCTTCATCTTCAGGACAAGGCTGCAATTGGTACAGTCTTTGTGGCCATTTTTTAGGTTAAGAAAATGAGAATTTTTCTATATCTCATCCTTTTGCTAAGATGGTTTAAAATTCAGATTTTCTGACTCTAAAACCAGTGAGTTTTCTTATTACACCTCTAACAATGTTATTTTCCCTGCTAATTCTTTGATATATTTACACACATGCACACACACACATATATATCCTCTCCTTATACAGGGGTCAGACTGCGGTATAAGGCTGGTGGTCTTAGAGAGAAGGGCAGGTATAATGTCGGAGACGAATGCCTGATATCGGAGGAGACATCAGTAGATAGAGTCTCCTGTGATCAAAGATTACTAAGTTCATTCTGATTTTAGGGCAGAGATGGTCTACTTACAGCTGGTAGGGTGGATCTGGGTCCATAGATTTAACTATAACTGTAACGAAGACAGAGTTTCCTGGAACACCAAGGGTCCTTATGTTCCATATTCCTTCCAGTACCAGCACATGGCAGCCCAAAATAAAAATGGTATTGAAGTAATTGGAAATATTTCCAATAAAGCACCAAAGCCAAGATTTGCTATTTAAAGCTCAGTATTAGCTGAAGCCAGACTTTCCTTGGAAACACATACACACACGAAGATCTATTCAATCGTATAGAGATAAAAATGATGAATTGGCAGATGCACGGGTTTAACCATTTGTAAGCAGGGTAGGCAGGATTGGGGCAGTACCTCCCTTATTCCCAAACTCTCTCCACATTCTGGCTACCTCACCATGGCCACACAATGCCTTTTCCAGCAGGTAATTGCCTGAATTTAAGGCTGCACGATATTTTATGAGGAAATGCCACTGTCTTTTAGATTATAGCAACCAAGAAAAAAGTACTAAAAGCCTGAAACAAAACAGTGTTGCTGGTGGTATGGCCTTCCTAGACCCCAGGGCCATCCTTGATAATATTTTCTGTGTTCTCTAATTTCATCTCTGCCAAAAGCCATTAAGGTGTATCAGCAGCCATAAAAGGCAGACTCCCAGGGAGGAAATTGTAAGAAACATTTCTGGGGTTAAAGTTAGCCTCACACCAAATAGTCCTATGAGGAAAAAATACAGCTGACAGATTTATAGGATTTCTCTTACAAAAGAGACCTTGCTGGACCACAGGTAGCAATATAATCTGCTGAATTCTCACACTGCAGGGCCTTGCTTTATACAAGAGTAATAGGTTTTATAAACTTAATCTCATTATATCCATTGAGGTAATTCACTAGGGCAATTCAATATGTGAAGGAAACCTGCAGTGAACATTCTGAAAACTTAAAGACGTGTTTTGTTTTCTTTATTTTTTAGACAGCTTTGATACACAATTCACACACTGTACAATTTGCCCTTTTAATATAATGCCATGGTTTTTAGCATATTTACACAATGGAGCATCCATCACTACAATCAATTTTGGAATATTTTCATCGTCCCTCCAAAAAACACTGCACTTCTTGGCCTTCAACCAAATCTCCCCATTTACCCCAGCTCTCCTCAGTAATATATTTCTGAGTTGATAGATTTGTCTATCCTGGACATTTCATGCTGCAGCAGGTTAGTCCTGACTTTTTATCATAATGGTCATGAGGTTCCATGAAACCGAGAGAATAGAAGCATGAAAGGTCTCTTGAGGCCTGGGTTCAGAACTTCTAATGCATTCTATTGGCCAAAGTGAGTTAAAGATCAGCCCAGATTCAAGGGGTGGAGGAATATATTCCACCAGTTGATGATGAATGGAGAAGCCATAAAGTCCCATGTCAAAGAGTTACGGAGAAGTTTGGGATTCGAGCCGCCATTAAAAAATAGATCTACCATTGTGATAGTATATTTTATCAAAATTCTGCATGTGTTATCATCATTCTTAGTTAAAAACATAAGAAGATATATTACTAAATAGTCTGGCACTGCATACTAGTCTTTATAAAATGACAAGGCAATATCTGTGGCATCTAAACCAAACACCTATATACTGATAAAATTTTCTCTCTACCTTCCCAGCAAAGCATTCTCTCCAAAGGTACCTCTCAATGTATCCTGGGTCTCATGGACAACAAAATTAAACTCATTATTTCCTTCAGAAACTTATCTTTTTCCTCCTGTATTTTATATTTAAATGAATAATACAATCAATTATCCAGTTACCTAATTGTGATACCAAGGAAGTATTTAAGATTCCTATTCCCGGCTGGCTTAACGCACATTGTTCAACAAGTCCTACATCTCTACCTTCAAATGGCTGTTAATTCTTGCTTCATCTCTGCATTCAACCGCCACTGCATTATTCCAGGATCTCTTTATTTTCAACCTGAATTATACAACTTTTGGACTTGTTTCTCTGTTCCTGTTCTCATCTGTCTTTAATCCAAATATCCACAGTTGTGCTGGTGTAAATTTACTATATTATGGCATCTCTCCAGCTAAATGTCATCCAATGATCTTCAACTATTTCCCACTTAAAAATCCAGGCTTCTTACTACAGCATTCAAGGTCTTCTCTGATCTGACCCCTTCTTGCCCCTCCATTGTACTTTCATTTTCTTACTTTGCTGTGTTCTTGCTCAGCTCACATCATACACATCTCATCATACACTTCTATTTGCCTCAATGTTCTTCCCTCTAGTGTCATAGGGGAGGGAGGACCCATGGTATTTAAGAGCAAGTACATTAGAGTTAGATACTCTGATTCTGACTCTAAGAATGTTGAGTTCCCACTTAATGATGCTGAGCTACCCTTTTCTTATTAGTATAATAAAATGGAAATAGTAATGACATCTACCTCATAGGGTTGTTTAGGGTATTAAATGTAATAGTGCATGCAAATAATTTAGCACAGTTACTTGCACAAATAAGCATTCCATAATGTTAAACGTCAATATTAATATTTCTATCACCTCATTTTTTTGCTTCTGAAGACCCTTTTCATGTTTCAAGACTTAAAGCTTACATCTTTGAGCACCCATTTTGGAATGGAATTCTACTATCCCATTCTCATTCTTCCAGTGAGTTCCCATCAAATCCTAGGCATAACTTCACTACAGCATTTGATACATAATATGGATTTCTCCTCTCTTTTTGTATGCCTGTATCCCCTCCAAAACCTATAAGCCACCTAAGAGCAGGGATTGTGCTTCATTCAGCTTTGACTGCCTTGTGTCAGTAAATGCAAGATTCCCTTGTGAAGTTATGGAAAATCCAGGCCCAGCTTTAGCAGAAATGAGTATATGCAGTCATAGATGGAGACGTGGCTAGGGAATTAGAATTTCTTGGCTCAGTGGACTTTATTTACTCAATCAACTTCCAGGTCATATCCTGACAGCTGAGTATTGACCAACAGAAGAGCTTGTAACTCAGGCATCCTTCAGGAACCTTGGATCAAAACAATTGTGATCCTGCCAAGCCTTGGCTCAAGGCAAGGACAATTGCCTTTGATTCTAAACCATTTAGGGAATTCCAAAACTAGTGTTAGTCAAGGACTCCTATATAGGTTTATTTATTATGAAAAATATCAAGACTGAGAAACTAACATTTTGGGAAATTACTATTATCAACATCTGATAGAAACAGGATGACCACATTTTGTTGAATGTAAATTTCCAAGAGCAAAAAACATGGGAATGAGGCCGATTTCCCATCTTAAGCACGCAGGATTTCAAATCAATTTCTTATTAACTTGATAACATTGCTTTTTCTAGAAAGGTCACTATTTTTTGTGTTAAGAATATGCTCTTGGCCAAGCATAGCGGCTCACACCTGTAATCCCAGCACTTTGGGGAGGCTGAGGCAGGTGGATCACTTGAGCTCAGGTGTTTGAGACCAGCCTGGGCAACATGGCGAAATCCCATCTCTACAAATATTACAAAAACTACCCACCTGTGGTGGCACATGCCTATGGCGCCAGCTACTCACTCAGGAGGCTGAGGTGGGAGGACTGCCGGAGCGCGGAAGGTCGAGGCTGCAGTGAGCCATGATCATGCCACTGCATCTAGCCTGGACGACAGAGCAAGACCCTGTCTCAAAGAGAAGAAATATGCTCTTTAACCTTCAGGTAGTATCTGCAATTTGTAGAGAAGATTGTTTTCCCTTATCTTTTATTTCTTATTCTAGTCTCTGGAACTTGCTTATCAATCAGAAATGCATTTGAGGGATTGAATTTAAGCAATACATTTAACATACATACCTCTTAGCAGGGTTTTTCAGTATAAGTCTCATTTTCATAGATTCTTGCTCTTGATTCCAAATTATTTTTGTGACTCTTTTCCTGATTGTCTGGGTTATCTGGCAATTATTTGTAGACTCAGGAGCTTGAGAGAAGTCTGGAATTTCTGCCTGCCAATTTGTAGTTTGACTTTCAAAACCCAGCTCTTTGCTTTTGTTCTTATTTATCTTTCTTAAATAAAAAAAATAAAAAAAAAGGGCCAACCCATTTTTTCTATTTGTCTTTATTCCAGAGAACATGGTTTATATAAACTATTTAACTATTGCAAAAAACACTTCTGATCCTTTCGTTTCCTATAAAGGGAGTAATATTTCACCATCTCCATGATATGTTTGTATCCTATACAGGAAGAACAATGAGACATGGAGTGAAAAAATTTCCAGTAGCTCTACTCCTTTATCACTGGACAGACAAATAGCTCACTGCATGTGGGTTCCCATATACTATTTTATTATGAAAGATAAAACATTTAGAAAGAGAAGACCTCTTATAATATAATTCCATTAAGCTCTCCTCACCTCATATTTTTATGTTTTATGTTTATTTGATATCATTTTATGTAATTATTTGCTGTAGTGCTCTGATTTATACTTAACAAGGTAATTGTATTACAAAATAAATGAGGCTTGAATTGATTTGCAGTAAATGTATATAAAAGTTATATTCTTGGTTGAAGTTCAAATACTGTGGGAGGAGTAAGAATGCAGAAACACATGCCCATGTACAACTGGCCTCCACCACACACATTATACACCAGGTTTTCCTTAACTGGGACCATAGAGGACTAAAGCCATACTGACACATACATTATGTCTCCATACTGTATATAAACATAACATCTAAGTATTTATGAATATTCTCTTCCCTCTTTCAAAACAAATACACCACATTAATCCCTCTTTCTTGTCCTTGAGCTAGAACTTATATATTTCTCCCAAATTTTATACAAAATATAGCCAAATGTGACATTAAGCTTTTCTCCAAAGCCATGTATATTTTTAAAAATTATACGATTATCTGTTAATTATCTACATTTATTTACTCTGTGTCATAATGTCAGGACTGAATTAGGCAAAATATATTTTTCCCCCATCCAAAGGCTTCCTTTTAGAATCTGCCAATAAAAGGCAGGCTCCTGAGGAAGAGGGACAAAAAGGGATGTGTCTCCTTTTGTAACTGTTACATCTGTTAGCGTCACCCAACGAAGGAATTTAATGCAGTAGCAACACCTGATTCCTGCCTTCAACTTCTTTCAGCACTCTTAAAACCAGCTTAGGAGCCCCTCAGAAGCACTAGCAGTAAGTAGGCTGAGCAGCATTTCTTGGAAATCCAAACCCAGATCCACAAGATCCCTTTGAGGATCTCCTGAATATCAGCAACAGACAAGCAATACTTACTCCAGAGAAGTCTCATCCCCAGTTCTGCAAGGTCCTTTCTCTAAGTTCTTGAGGTACCAGCAGTAACTAGGAGCCAACCTGTCTTCACTGATCTTAGTTCCGCCTGTACATGACCCCTACTATGAAATTCAAGATTTTGATAACTCTGTCTTTATCCATTTGTTCTCCTAGCCTTATGGGTATTAGTTATTTCCTGCAGTTACTACTTCTATGTTACCATGCTGTTCCATTTTTGCTCTTTCATCATTCTACATCTTGGTTAACAATACTCTATGTAAAACGTTCACTGTTGAATTACAGAATGTAATATCTGTTTTTCTTATTAGACTCTGATGTATACTGTACCAGTAGTGGCCCTAGAAAGCAGATATTCAAAGTTTGAGATTCTGGAATTGGTGTGGTTGTAACCTTGTCCTTGAACACAGAATTGGATTACTTACAAATGTAAAACTGGATATAAGTTATTTATAGTACATAGTTTTTGTTTTTGTTTTTGTTTTTACAATTCATTTAATTATCCACCTGTGTAACTCAGGAATTCCACGTGGGTTTAAATATTACCAAATTAATTGAGATGCTTAGGGATAGAAAGAGCACCATAATTATTATTACAATAAAAAAATAAGCCAGACAAATTGAAATTAATTTTATGAGTTTTTAAAAATTCATCAGCAATCTTGAGTTTTCAGGGCAAGCGCCTAGCCCAAAATTGAAGAAAGGTAGGCATCTTTAGGCAGAGATGGTGTATGAATACTGGACTACTTGTGACAGGCACAACTGGACACCAATCACAGTACCCAGAAAGGGTCCTTGGTTAAATTGGCGGAAGCTGATCATGTGCTGTTGAACATGTGAGGCCCCTAAAACTCACACAAACTGGAGAAGTCTATGCCCTTTTCAAGGATTCTTCTCCATGAACCCTGCTGAGTGCTCACAGACAAGATTGGAAAAAAGTAACTAAATGTTCTTTGTGGTACAGAGCTGAGAGGAGAGGGGAACAGGAGTTTATGCAGAGAAGGATGCTCCTCTATCTCTGCTCAGGAAAAAAAGCCTCAACCTATGCTGGGAAGGACAGAAAACATGGATGCCCTTAGGGCACAGGTGAGGATTCATTGCAACTGAGGAAAGCAAACAGATAGAAAAGTCCCTATCTTGGAAGGTAGGCAGGAATGTGTGCTGGGTTCAGAACTACAGCCAGGGTAAGAGCAGGATCACTGTGTAGGGGACACCCCGAAGACCCAAGACATGGTGCTGGCAAAGAGAAGGCATGAAACTGAGAATGGATGAGCATTCAGAGAAAACAAAAACGAAGCCAAAAGCCTCTGGGAAGCAGCCTCCTCTTTAAATAAAATGTACGGCTACAGGGATCTGAAGAGTGTGATATGCTGGCAGTAACCATCGCAATAGAAATCTCATTGGTCAAATTTCTAACTAGGTTAATTCAAGCCCCAGCACTAAAGGCCAAGCAGAAAGAAAATGTGCCCAGGCATAAAAGCTGTTTATCTCAGTCTTTACTATCCTTTACAAGATCTCTGGCTTTCAAAAACAAACCACATTAAGAAATGTGAAAAAGCAAGAAAAGGCCAATACTACCAAGAGATAAAACCAGTCATCAGGATGAGACTAAGATATGACACCGAATTTAGTATTATCTAATAGATGATTTAGAATAACTATGTTTAATATGATAAAGTTTTTAATGGAAAAGTTGAATAATTACAAGATCAAAGTAGGTAGTTTCAACAGGGAGATGGGAACTGTAAGACACAATCAAATGGAAAAGCTAGAAATGATAAGCACAATAAAAGAAATTAACAGTGACTTCAGCAGGCTTATCAGAGAAGGAAAGAATCAAAGGAACCTGAAGATGTTTCAATAGACATTTTCAAGCAAACAAAACAGAAGATAGAAAAAGAGAACAACAACAAAAAAACATTAAGACATGTATAGAACAATGCATGTAAGGGTAATTAGAATCATAGAAGAAGAGATATAAATTAGGCTAAAGGGACATTTGAAGAAATAATACCTGCGAACTTTCCAAACCTAATGACAGTCATCAGACAACAGATCTAAGAATCTCAGAGAACAGAGGCAGAATAAATCCCAAGACCACTACATTTAGCTATATCATGTTCAAACTACTGGAAATAAGAGTCAAATGGAAAATCTTGAATGCAGACAGCAAAAGGGAAACAAGATATCCCATACAGAGTAACAAGTATAAGAATTATTGAGGAAGTAGTCAGCCATTCTTGTGTAAAACCAATCAATGTAGATGGAAATACAATGACATCTTTAAAATGATAAATTGAAAAACAATCCAGACAACAACACATTCAACCTAGAATTCTATGCCTAGAGAAAATGTGTTTAAGTAATGGAGAAACAAAGACTTTCTCATACAAACAACTACTGAGGGAATTCATTGTCACCCCAATTCTACATTGAATGTTAAAAAGGAGGTTTTTAGAAACAAGGAATACGATATCAAACAGAAACTTACATCTACACCACGAAAAGGAAGGGCACTGAAATTGGAACAAATGAAGATAACTGAAAATTACTTTTCTCCTTTCCATTGCTTTAAAAGATAAGTGACCGTTTAAGGCACAAATAGTTGATAGCATATGCAAAACTAAAATATCTGACAACAATAGCACAAATGATGCCAAGATAAATTAGAAGAAATACAGTTATATATCTACAGCCATACCACCCTGAATGCAGCTGATCTTGTCTGGTCTCGGAAGCTAAGCAAGGTTGGGCCTGCTTGGTACTTGGGTGGGAGAAAATATAATGTTGTATGATCCTTAAACAACACATGAAGTCGTATACTTGAAAATTGAATAAATTAAATATGTAAGATGTATTCAACTCTAGGACAACCTCTAAAAACAATTTTTTAAAAATCATTATTTAGAAAATTACCAATTACAACATAACAGAAAATGAAAGTATTATAATCCAGCAAAATATTTGAAAGATCTGGATGCTGAAAAAAACAAAGCTTTGAGAAAAGAAAGCAAGATGACCTTAATAAATAGTGAACTATATAATGTTCTAATGACAACTAAATGGTCAGAATTCAACTCTTTGTCATTGTGGGACTGAGGTCTCTGTTTTCTTGCTGTCAAGCCAGGATTTTCTCTTAACTCCTTACAGCCACCTGAATTCCTCATCATATTACCCCCTCCATCTTTATAAATCATGGTGTCAAGTCTTGTTCATGCTTCAATTCTATCTGATTTTACTTCTGTCACATCTATTCTGCCTCCAGCCAGAGAAAATTATCTGCTTTTGTGGGCTGGTGTGATTATTTTAGGCCCGTGAGGGTAATCCAGGATATTCTCCCCATCTTAAATTCTTAACTTTAATTATATCTGCAAAATCCCTTTTGCCATGAAATATAACATTTCACTGGTTCTGAGAATTAGGATGTGAATATATTGGGGAGGGGAACATTATTCTTCTTACCACAAAAGGAATCAATAAAAAGAGTGAAATAATAGTGTTAGAAATCACACACGTGCACACACTTATACACACACACACACTATGAATGTTTTCAAAGGACTTTTCAATAATATCACAACAAAAAGTCAACAAATTTGAGAATAGGTAGGTCAATATCAATTATCTAAAATGAAATAAAAGGGGCCGGGCACAGTGGCTCACACCTGTAATCTCAGCACTTTGGGAGGCCAAAGCGGGTGGATCACCTGAGGTCAGGATTTCGAGACCAACCTGACCAACATGGTGAAACCCTGACCCTACTAAAAATACAAAAATTAGCTGGGTGTGGTGGCAGGTCCCTGTAATTCCAACTACTTGGGAAGCTGAGGCAAGAGAATCGCTTGAACCCAGGAGTTAGAGGTTGCAGTGAGCTGAGATCACGCCACTGCACTCCAGCCTGGGCAACAGAGTGAGACCCCGTTTCAATAAATAAATAAATAAAAATAAAATGAAATAAAAGGAGGAAAAAATGTTAAGAAAATACTGAACAGAACATTTAAGAATTGTGGGAAAACAGCTTTTCTCTAACATACATGTAATTGGAGTCCCAGGTAGAGGAGAGGAAGATGGTTGTTTCAGAAGTGTTTAATGTGATAATGGCCAAGAATTTTTCAAAATTAATAGACAAGAAACCACAGATCCACAAAGTTCAAAATTCCAATTAAGAACTTGGAAAGGCAAAAACAAGAACCAAACCCACGACCAAAAAAACCGAGGCCAGACTAAACCAAACCAAACACACACACATAGACACACACAGGCATTATCATAGTCAAACTCCTGAGGCATAAAAATACAAGAAAAATCTTGAATGTAGCCAGGGCAGGGGGAATATATAAAGTACAGAAGAAGACTATGTCTGGGTAACCACAGATCTCTTTTCAGAACATAGCAACTTAGAAAACAATGAAGTAAGGAACACCTCTAAATTTTAAAGTAGAAAGCAGAGAAACACCGAAAGAACAAAAAATTACCTGGTCAGATTTCTATAACCACAAAAAATATGTTTCAAAAATAAATTAAAAAAATGGTTTTCAAACAAACCTGAGAGAATCAATTGCTTGCAGAACTGAACAATAAATATTAAAGAAATGTATTCAACTGCATAATCATTTCAATACTTGCACAAGCACATTTGAAAAATTCTGTTACAAAAAACTTTCGGGGGAGGAGCCAAGATGGCCAAATAGAACAGCTCCAGTATACAGCTCCCAGTATGAGCGACGAAGAAGACGGCAGAAGACGGGTGATTTCTGCATTTCCATCTGAGGTACCGGGTTCATCTCACTAGGGAGTGCCAGACAGTGGGCGCAGGTCAGTGGGTGCGTGCACCATGCGCGAGCCAAAGCAGGGCGAGGCATTGCCTCACTTGGGAGGTGCAAGGGGTCAGGGAGTTCCCTTTCCAAGTCAAAGAAAGGGGTGACGGATGCACCTGGATAATCGGGTCACTCCCACCCGAATATTGCGCTTTTCGGACAGGTTTAAAAAATGGCGCACCACGAGATTATATCCCGCACCTGGCTCAGAGGGTCCTACGCCCACGGAGTCTCGCTGATTGCTAGCACAGCAGTCTGAGATCAAACTGCAAGGCGGCAGCGAGGCTGGGGGAGGGGCGCCCGCCATTGCCCAGGTTTGCTTAGGTAAACAAAGCAGCCTGAAGCTCGAACTGGGTGGAGCCCACCACAGCTCAAGGAGGCCTGCCTGCCTCTGTAGGCTCCACCTCTGGGGGCAGGGCACAGACAAACAAAAAGACAGCAGTAACCTCTGCAGACTTAAATGTCCCTATCTGACAGCTTTGAAGAGAGCAGTGGTTCTCCCAGCATGCAGCTGGAGATCTGAGAACGGGCAGACTGCCTCCCTCAAGTGGGTCCCTGACCCCTGACCCCCGAGCAGCCTAACTGGGAGGCACCCCCCAGCAGGGGCACACTGACACCTCACAGAGATGATAACAAACTATCTCTCAGACCACAGTGCAATCAAACTAGAACTCAGGATTAAGAATCTCACTCAAGGCCGGGCGCGGTGGCTCACGCCTGTAATCCCAGCACTTTGGGAGGCCGAGGCGGGTGGATCATGAGGTCAGGAGATCGAGACCATCCTGGCTAACAAGGTGAAACCCCGTCTCTACTAAAAATACAAAAAATTAGCCGGGCGCGGTGGCTGGCGCCTGTAGTCCCAGCTACTCGGGAGGCTGAGGCAGGAGAATGGCGTGAACCCGGGAAGCGGAGCTTGCAGTGAGCCGAGATTGCGCCACTGCAGTCCGCAGTCCGGCCTGGGCGACAGAGCGAGACTCCGTCTCAAAAAAAAAAAAAAAAAAAAAAAGAATCTCACTCAAAACCGCTCAACTACATGGAAACTGAACAACCCGCTCCTGAATGACTACTGGATACATAACGAAATGAAGGCAGAAATAAAGATGTTCTTTGAAACCAACGAGAACAAAGACACAGCATACCAGAATCTCTGGGACGCATTCAAAGCAGTGTGTAGAGGGAAATTTACAGCACTAAATGCCCACAAGAGAAAGCAGGAAAGATCCAAAATTGACACCCTAACATCACAATTAAAAGAACTAGAAAAGCAACAGCAAACACATTCAAAAGCTAGCAGAAGGCAAGAAATAACTAAAATCAGAGCAGAACTGAAGGAAATAGCGACACAAAAAACCCTTCAAAAAATTAATTAATCCAGGAGCTGGTTTTTTGAAAGGATCAACAAAATTGATAGACCGCTAGCAAGACTAATAAAGAAAAAAAGAGAGAAGAATCAAATAGACACAATAAAAAATGATAAAGGGGATATCACCACCAATCCCACAGAAATACAAACTACCATCAGAGAATACTACAAACACCTCTACGCAAATAAACTAGAAAATCTAGAAGAAATGGATAAATTCCTCGACACATACACTCTCCCAAGACTAAACCAGGAAGAAGTTGAATCTCTGAATAGACCAATAACAGGAGCTGAAATTGTGGCAATACTCAATAGTTTACCAACCAAAAAGAGTCCAGGACCAGATGGATTCACAGCCGAATTCTACCAGAGGTACAAGGAAGAACTGGTACCATTCCTTCTGAAACTATTCCAATCAATAGAAAAAGAGGGAATCCTCCCTAACTCATTTTATGAGGCCAGCATCATTCTGATACCAAAGCCGGGCAGAGACACAACCAAAAAAGAGAATTTTAGACCAATATCCTTGATGAACATTGATGCAGAAATCCTCAATAAAATACTGGCAAAACAAATCCAGCAGCACATCAAAAAGCTTATCCACCATGATCAAGTGGGCTTCATCCCTGGGATGCAAGGCTGGTTCAATATACGCAAATCAATAAATGTAATCCAGCATATAAACAGAACCAAAGACAAAAACCACATGATTATCTCAATTGATGCAGAAAAGGCCTTTGACAAAATTCAACAACCCTTCATGCTAAAAACTCTCAATAAATTAGGTATTGATGGGACGTATTTCAAAATAATAAGAGCTATCTATGACAAACCCACAGCCAATATCATACTGAATGGGCAAAAACTGGAAGCATTCCCTTTGAAAACTGCACAAGACAGGGATGCCCTCTCTCACCACTCCTATTCAACATAGTGTTGGAAGTTCTGGCCAGGGCAATTAGGCAGGAGAAGGAAATACAGGGTATTCAATTAGGAAAAGAGGAAGTCAAATTGTCCCTGTTTGCAGATGACATGATTGTATATCTAGAAAACCCCATTGTCTCAGCCCAAAATCTCCTTAAGCTGATAAGCAACTTCAGCAAAGTCTCATGATACAAAATCAATGTACAAAAATCACAAGCATTCCTATACACCAACAACAGACAAACAGAGAGCCAAATCGTGAGTGAACTCCCATTCACAATTGCTTCAAAGAGAATAAAATACCTAGGAATCCAACTTACAAGGGATGTGAAGGACCTCTTCAAGGAGAACTACAAACCACTGCTCAAGGAAATAAAAGAGGATACAAACAAATGGAAGAACATTCCATGCTCATGGGTAGGAAGAATCAATATCGTGAAAATGGCCATACTGCCCAAGGTAATTTACAGATTCAATGCCATCCCCATCAAGCTACCAATGACTTTCTTCACAGAATTGGAAAAAACTACTTTAAAGTTCATATGGAACCAAAAAAGAGCCCGCATCGCCAAGGCAATCCTAAGCCAAAAGAACAAATCTGGAGGCATCACACTACCTGACTTCAAACTATACTACAAGGCTACAGTAACCAAAACAGCATGGTACTGGTACCAAAACAGAGATATAGATCAATGGAACAGAACAGAGCCCTCAGAAATAACGCCGCATATCTACAACTATCTGATCTTTGACAAACCTGAGAAAAACAAGCAATGGGGAAAGGATTCCCTATTTAATAAATGGTGCTGGGAAAACTGGCTGGCCATATGTAGAAAGCTGAAACTGGATCCCGTCCTTACACTTTATACAAAAATCAATTCAAGATGGATTAAAGACTTAAACGTTAGACCTAAAACCATAAAAACCCTAGAAGAAAACCTAGGCATTACCATTCAGGACATAGGCATGGGCAAGGACTTCATGTCCAAAACACCAAAAGCAATGGCAACAAAAGCCAAAATTGACAAATGGGATCTAATTAAACTAAAGAGCTTCTGCACAGCAAAAGAAACTACCATCAGAGTGAACAGGCAACCTACAAAATGGGAGAAAATTTTCGCAACCTACTCATCTGACAAAGGGCTAATATCCAGAATCTACAATGAACTCAAACAAATTTACAAGAAAAAAACAAACAACCCCATCAAAAAGTGGGCGAAGGACATGAACAGACACTTCTCAAAAGAAGACATTTATGCAGCCAAAAAATACATGAAAAAATGCTCATCATCACTGGCCATCAGAGAAATGCAAATCAAAACCACAGTGAGACACCATCTCACACCAGTTAGAATGGCAATCATTAAAAAGTCAGGAAACAACAGGTGCTGGAGAGGATGTGGAGAAATAGGAACACTTTTACACTGTTGGTGGGACTGTAAACTAATTCAACCATTGTGGAAGTCAGCGTGGCAATTCCTCAGGGATCTAGAGCTAGAATTACCATTTGACCCAGCCATCCCATTACTGGGTATATACCCAAAGGACTATAAATCATGCTGCTATAAAGACACATGCACATGTATGTTTATTGCAGCATTATTCACAATAGCAAAGACTTGGAACCAACCCAAATGTCCAACAATGATAGACTGGATTAAGAAAATGTGGCACATATACACCATGGAATACTATGCAGCCATAAAAAAATGATGAGTTCATGTCCTTTGTAGGGACATGGATGAAATTGGAAATCATCATTCTCAGTAAACTATCGCAAGAACAAAAAACCAAACACCGCATATTTTCACTCATAGGTAGGAATTGAACAATGAGATCACATGGACACAGGAAGGGGAATATCACACTCTTCAGACTGTGGTGGGGTGGGGGGAAGGGGGAGGGATAGCATTGGGAGATATACCTAATGCTAGATGACGAGTTAGTGGGTGCAGCGCACCAGCGTGGCACATGTATACATATGTAACTAACCTGCACAATGTGCACATGTACCCTAAAACTTAAAGTATAATAAAAAAAAAAAAAAACTTTCAGCAATTTGGAAGGGAATTTTCTTGATGTAATGAAGGAAATATCCATGATAAAGAGCATCTATGAAAAAGTTAAGCTAACATACTGAATAGAAAAATGTTGAATGCGTTCTGCCTAATATTGAGAACAAGGCAGAAATGCTCCTTTTTCTTCTTTTATTTGATGTTACAGCAGAGGTTCCAGTCATTGAAATAAATAAATAAAAAGAATTAAAATAAATAAAAATAAATTATTTTCATGAAGTCTTACAAAACTTGCAGAACAACTGTTAGAACTAGTAAGTGCATTTAGCAAGACTACAAAATATATTACTAATAATATCTAAAAATCAATAGTATATTATAATCTATCTGCAAAAAATTAGGCAAGTGAAATATAACAGGTTTGAGTCAAAACCCACTCAATGTACCCTTTACATTAGTGTGTTTATGGTATATAGATCTTGCCTAAAAAGGAGGGAAAACACTTTACACAAATACTGAAGTCTAGTTAATAAATATTTAGAATGAAATATAATGATGTATGCAATTTATGTAAGTATATTAAAATGAGATGGATAGAGTATGGACTCATGGACAGATACATGATAAAATACATATAGTAAAATGTTGTGGGAGAATATAGGTGGGTATACTAATGCTCACTGTAAACTTGATGTGATGATGCAGGAGCTTTGGGGAATCAAGTGAATGATGTACTTTATCACTGGGGTTGTCATTATAGCTGTAAGAGCTGTGGGAGCAGAATGACTATTTGTAACTACTGGAAAGCTCACAAAAAGATTACAAGCTCTGGGCCTTAAACCCCTTAAATAAATTATGGTAAAAGAATTATGGTAAAAAATTATGGTAAAAGAATTAGAGTACATCAATGATGTACTCTAATTCTCTAACTCCTTATATCTGTAAGGATAACCTTAGTGATAATTACCCTACACAATATGATTGTTTGGGTTGCAGAATTACAACGTAAGTTGAATTCAAAGACATGCTGTGTCTATTATGTGATAGTCAAGGCATTGATAGAGATGGGATGGGGTTCTGAAACACCTCTAAATTTTCCCTCTGAAAATTGGAGGGAACAGTTAGATAGATTTAGTTGAGGCAAATAATTTCAAGACTTTGAGTCTCTGCTTCTGTGCTGACTTCAGAAACATCCTGCCCTCCAATATCAAAGAAGGGTAGTGTTTCAAGAGCCCCCAGCTACACTGGGGCTCCAGCATTAGCACAGCTAGCAACTCTGCCCTAATGGAAGATGAATGGGAGATGGACAGGGTATTTGCAGTGTGCCTTTCACAAGATACTTCTTATACCTGGTGAACATCCTAAGGCCTGGTTGTCCAAAATGTGAGCAGGGGTCCCAAACACAGGAAACTTGTTTATACTGGCAGACGTCCCTGTGACTCTTTCCTGACCTGTGTCCAGTTTATGCCTACCTGGCCTTCTCTCTGGAGCTGGGAATCCAACCTTGTGTTCTCCCTGATATGCCATGGAAACAATGGCCTGGGGTAGCTCATGGTTTTTCAGATGAAAGGAGCAAATTCAATACATCACCACAATAGGAAACAAGAGCAAGATTTTTACTTAGAGATTCTGGGCAGAGAGGGCACAATGAGTCAGGAGGACAGTTTTCCACCCCTGGGTCATGCAAGGCAGGAATGAAGAGTCAGGCAGAGAGAGACACTATGTACAGCAACTAGCAATATATATAACAGAATAGGACATGGGTCACTTTAAGTTCACAAGCAAATGCCCAAATAGTCCCTTTTAAGGAAGTGGCCCCAGAAAACTCAGTGTGTTAGGTGGGAAAGATGCCTCTAAGCTCCACTTTGGCATAGGCTTAAGCCATTTAGGTGTGGTCTTCTACTTCTAATGCCTAGGCAGCAATCTTTCCTGCATTATTCTTGTTACCCGTAGCCTGCCCTTTACTTACAAATCCTGTGGTACATTCACTTTGTTGAAATAACTAGTGCAGTTTTAATTTCTTAACTGCTCTCTAATACACCATTCTAATACATCTTTTTAAAAAATTCTTCATGAGGGCCGGGCGTGGTGGCTCATGCCTGTAATCCCAGCACTTTGGGAGGCCAAGGCAGGCAGATCACCTGAGGTTGGGAGTTCGAGACCAGACTGACAAACATGGAGAAATCCCATCTCTACTGAAAATACAAAAAATTAGCCAGGTGTGGTGGCACATGTCTGTAATCCCAGCTACATGGGAGGCTGAGGCAGGAGAATCACTTGAACCCAGGAGGCGGAGGTTGCGTTGAGCCGAGATCGGGCCATTGCACTCCAGCCTGGGCAACAAGAACAAAACTTCGTCCAAATAAATAAATAAATAAATAAAATTCTTCATAAAACAGTTTCAAGATCTTTTAAAAATTGATATTAATAATCATTCTTTTTCTTTCATATTTTTGGGTGTTATTTATTCCTTACTTCCAGACTACATGGCAGGATTTTCAGATCATACTTTACTAAAAAGTCTAGTGTTAAAGAAAACCCCACAATATTTCTTAAATTTAGAGACATTATTTTATATTACATAATACTGACAACATAATTTATACTTTTCTTTCCTCTTTTATATGCATTGTTTCTTACAGCAATAGTAGCTATTGAGGAAACCAACTGGTCAAATCAAACTCATTACTTTCTACCCACCCCAAACATATACTTCCTCTGTGTTTCCCACCAACACCATTCCAATCATGTAGGACAGGAGCCATATGGTCTCAGTTGTGATGACTCAAACTCTGCCACTGTGGCACAAAAATAGCTATAGTTATTATGTAAACAAAGGTTATATAAGGTATGGTTATCTTCCAATAAAACTTTATTTACAAAAATAGGCAGCCCCTGGGAAGTAGTTTGCCTACCCCTGAGGTAGGTGTTATACCCAATAATCATTTTTAACTCTTACGTCCAATCAAATTTCAAATGCATATCAGTTTATCAAACACTCACAGAGTATGTGCTCTTTACTGGACGTGATTAAGGTCCAGCTCTTATCTCTGAAGCAAGCTGCGTAGATATCTACTACTATGTAGTCTTACTGTCCCACTATAAAGAGCCTCATACTTGGTCTTCCATCTAATTTCTTTCTAAACCCTTCAGATTTGAAGGTATTCTCTCTTTAGAGGTCACAGATATTTTGTGCCACTGATATGGCTTTGATGAAGGGAGGAACACCAGGTTCTTCGTTTCGAGTTGAATTAGATAAAATGACACCGATACACGTGGAGTGGTTTTAAGGAGAGGAGAGTTTAATAGGCAAAAGGGGAGAAGGTAGAAGGAAGAAGCTCCCCAGTACAGAGACAGAGGGAGGGGGGCTCCAAAGCCTAAAGAGGAGACCCTGAATTCGGAGGATACCAGCCAGTTCTATGCAAAGGCTGGAGGAGATGGTGTCTGATTTCCATAGGGCTCAGGGGATTAGTTTGACCATGCATGTCGTTTATATAGACCGTGAAAAACCTGGCCCTCCCATCCCAGTTCTTTAATATGCAAATACAGGGCACCATAATGTTCTACACATGTAGGGATATGTGGGGGCGGCCATGCTGTCAGGCACATGTAGGGGCAAGGGCAAGAGAGCAACAGTGGGAATTGCCATGTTGGGTGGACCCGGTTTCCAACGGCTTGCATTTGCGTATTAAAGGTTGCCAGCCTGGGTCTAAGAACCAGGACTTTCATGCTAGACAAGAAACACTTTTTTGGAGCTGTGAAAAAACCTTCCATGTACCCCTTTTCCTCTCTATCTGCCTAAAACAATTTCTTAATAACTCCTACCACACCACAAGAATATGTCAACATAGCGCAAGTCATGGATACAGAGAGAACGGCATTTCAAAGGCCAATTAACTTATTTGTCATTAATCATCTTATTACAGAAGAACACAAAACACCTGAGTAAGTGGTAATGTACAGCCCAAGTTCCCTTTTGTTATTTCTGGAAAGGTCCTCACCTCTAGTATAAATAGGGTTGTTTTAAAACGTGAAATCTAATCATAATATTATTATATGACGATACACACACAGGCATACACACTAAGTAAAGGCTCCTGCCTTTGTTATTTATGATTCTGGAAATGTAATGCATGCCTCACTGGCCCTGCTGATGATGTCTGCAAGCATCTTTGTTTGATTTTTTTAAAAGCTGGAAGCAACAATGCTGGATGTTGACTTGTTAATGAAGAAAGAGATCTAAGACCTGAGACCTTTACTTAGTCAGAGGTTATTTAGCAAATCTGGTTGGCTTTGGATTGAAAAAAAAAAATCTATTTTCCTATACTGGAGAGAAAAAGGATGCTAAAGAGGTGAATGAGGTTACCTGATCATCACAAAGTGCCTATGCTGCCTTTCTGCAACTAAGGCATTGGAAATTGAAGTGTATAATAATACAGGCACTTCACCCTTTCTGAAACTGGTCACACTGATGGTGTTTGTATTATTAGGTTTGCTTTACACATTTACCATAGTTTCCTGCCCAACCAACTCCTCTTGAGAAAATTCTGTGTGGCTCTATGTACAGCTATGCACTAAATATTGGCAGGAAGCCAAGCATTAATTGGATAAATATCACCCCTTCTGGAAAAATATTTTTCCCAGGTTTTTCTCTTGTATCTCCCCTTTCCATTATACCTCGTCCTTGAATTATCTGTATTTACATACTACAGAAGGCACTTCAGGATTCAGGGATGAGTTGAATGACTGGTAATTAATTGCTCTATTGGTGATAGAAGACTTTATAGGAGCCATTGCTCATAAAACTGGCACAGGTGTTACCATCTTTCTAGAGGCACCTCTTTTCTGACTTCCCTAATCCCTTGATTCCAGGCACAACTCTCTCCTTCGGGCACAACGTAATGTGGATTGGGCTGTATGTGTATTCATGTTTCTATTTCATCACCATAACCTTACAAAGTATCACTTTACTCATTTATAAAAGGGACAAGCCCATGGAATGGAAGAAGCATTAGAAAAGGTAATGAATGAAATACAAATAGCACCTTGCATCCCACAACATGTCTGCTCAATACAAGGTAAACATATTTAAAGCTATGTTAGAGAATTTTAAACCTGAAAGAGGCCTTGAGGAGAACTGAGTCCATAGGTTCCACTGGCAGGTGCCTGCAACAGAATAACCAGGGATTTCTTGCTCCAAACACTGGTGCTCAGCTTTCCCGTAGACCTAGTGAATCAGACTGTCTCCTGCTTTCATGTTTTAAAATTGTCTTAGATGATTCTGATGAGCAGTCAGGTTTGTAAGCCAGTACATCATTTACTCCTTCTTCCAATGCTCAAATCTTCCTCTCAATGGCCCTGTTATTTGTTCTTCTAGCTTCTTTTCAGTGATAGTGAACTGACTGTCTCCAGGAACAGGCGTGTCCTCATGTGACAGATTTGCACAGTTCTTCCTTCTACACACATAAAAGCTGTCATCAGTATTGTCCATTCATTAAAGCCAATTCTAACCATGGGGGTTATGAATAAACAAATTTAACCACTTTTTTTTTCTGTTTGAAAATGCTCCAGTTATATGAAAAGATTTATTTTCCTACATCTTTTCTCCCACGTGTCTAATGTATCCTGATAAAGCCCCTGTCCTGGAGTCCCAGTTTCTTGTTTACTAGATTTTACCAAATGCTATTTCATTGCTAGAGTTTCAGTGGCCTTATCTTTATACTTTTCTGATAACTGTCCCTCTTTAAAGTATTTTCAATGTCTTATTTCAGTCACTTCTTCCACAAACATGTTGCAAATATATTCTTGCCTGTAAGCTTTTGCAAAAGGAATTTTAGGTCTTTTTTGCCTATATGATTTCTATATTCTCAATCATAATGTAGGTTTTTTAACATCAACACTGTGATTTTTCATATGAGAATCTGAAAATGTAGAAGTAGGTAGGGTTGAAAACCTTAAGACTCACATGGTGCAACTCCCTAACTCTTAGATCCATTTTAGAGACAAGACATGGACATCCTGGTGGACTAAGTGGTTTCCTCCTATCTCCTGCTACAAAAGGCTCCTTATATTAAGATATTACATTTGTATAATGCATAGAATTCAGGCTAACAGCCTGCAGACATGTTGTTTTAATTTATTATAGCCATATATATATATAAAGCTAGCAATTAAAAGTCAAAGATTTCACATACTACTCTGGAAAAGAAACATTGAAAGAGCTTGCAGTTTTAGGGTAGCATTCTCAAGTAGTAACAGTGGGCTGGAGCTAAATGGTACATACCCATTTTGACAGAATTACATGCTCCACATTACCTGTCTAGATATTGTAGACAGTTAATTGTACCTTGCCTCTCTCTTATATGTATGTTTTTTACTTGAACTGTAGTTTAATACTACGCAATACCCAGAATTGGCATATACATACCCATATATTAAAGAGGTATACACATGAAGTTATCTGAGGTTCTTAACATGTGAAGCAGTGCACAGCATTTTAGTGGTTTGGAGTAGTTTAGAGTGATTTGGAGTAATAAGCCTCTCTGCTTGAAATCTCCAGTTTACCACTTACAAGCTGTGCAACATTAGGCAAGTCATTTAATTTTTCTGAAACATGATTTCTTTCTCTGCAAAATGGACAATGTAACATTGTTGGGAAGCTCAAGGAAGAAAATGAATGGAATAGAAACTTTTAGCCAAGGGCTTAATAAAATTAGCTATCTTTATTTTGTACAGACTGGGTACCAGAACTCATATCTCCTGGACCGAAAATGAAACTGTTTCTATTGTGCAATTCTGCCACACATCTATGTTTCATGTGTGTCCTTGGCCACAGTTTCTGGAGCTTCATAAATGAAGTCCCTGCTGGGGATACCAGCTGGTTCTAGATGAGCAGTGGAAATATCTCAACATCCTGCCTCAACCTGCCCTGTCCCCAAAGCTTCTTATGTGGTGAACAGGAAAAAGGCTCTGTGTGACATGACACTTCAATAATATACAAAGGTTGGGTTGTGAGTAGGATCAGATGCTTTTATGTCTATTTAAAAACAATTGGTAAGTAATACAAAATTGAGAGAATCAAATTACAAGATTTGTTAGGTAAATGAGTAGCCTGGGACTCTACCTCGTGGCCTTTGCAAATCCTAAGAGTCTTATACAACATATTGGCTTTGTGTATGGCTTCCCTCTGTTGAATCTGGAAAATTAACTTATGAGAGAAACTTGGGCTACTCCGCATCTCCAGGCCAGAGACAGTCTTCAAACTTCACATTCTCAGTAGCAATCTCTTCTCTTTCCTGTCCTACCATTTTTTAAATGCTTAGAATGTTGGGGGCAGTGTGGCTGTGTGGAGAGCAGGAATGTTCTTGTTTTTTAAGATAGCATTTACTCATGCCTCAGAAACACCCCGAAAGAATCAATACTTCCTCATAAACATTTTCCAGAGTTTGGTCTTGCCTCATCTGGTGCAGAATCATTGTTCTTAATTGTATAAAAGAAAAGTGAAATTTCTTTTTTTTTTTTTTTTTTTTTGAGACGGAGTCTCGCTCTGTCGCCCAGGTCGGACTGCGGACTGCAGTGGCGCAATCTCGGCTCACTGCAAGCTCCGCTTCCCGGGTTCACGCCATTCTCCTGCCTCAGCCTCCCGAGTAGCTGGGACTACAGGCGCCCGCCACCGCGCCCGGCTAATTTTTTGTATTTTTAGTAGAGACGGGGTTTCACCTTGTTAGCCAGGATGGTCTCGATCTCCTGACCTCATGATCCACCCGCCTCGGCCTCCCAAAGTGCTGGGATTACAGGCGTGAGCCACCGCGCCCGGCCAAAAGAAAAGTGAAATTTCTAAACTTATCCAAGACCTTTTAAATTATATCCTCAGGAGTGGATCCCAGGAAAGTGTCTTTCTCTCCTTTTTCCCTTCAAACCCTCTAGATTATTGAAATACACTGAAGTTTGAGAATTAAGTAATCCATGTTCAGAGAAATGTGATAGCCTCTGAACTAGGCATAGAGATGAAGAGAGAATTGGCATCACTCCAGCAACAAGTGTTACTGTAAATTTAGACATATGAGGAATACAAAGCTGTAGGTCAAGCTCTTTAGAAGTACGCAGGTTTCCTTGGCTCTGAAAATGTAAAAAATGAGAACTATGTAAGAAAATAAGAACTTCCATGATTAAATATGAGAATGAATTTTGCTAATAATAATTGCTGTAGGGTTTTGGGAATGGGCCAAGGAAGCATAATGGGAACAATTTGGAAAGGAAGTGATACGATTTAAAGTAGGTCTTAAAATATGTTCAATCTTTACATGGATGGATAAAAGAGAAGGGGGATTTTTATGGTGGCAGGAGGGAACTACATGAATAGATGTGAGGTGTTAGTAAATACAGGGGTTTAGGTTAATGAAGGATTGAGAGGGTGTATTGAAGATAGAGGTATATACAAAGTCATGTAGGTGCTTATGAAAGTAGTCAGGACAAGGGTTGAGATCCTAAACTTCAAAGTAGATCGTTATGCTTTAGTGAAAAGGCGATCTCTTGATCCAGCACAGTGAACATACAAGCCTTTCCATAACAGTGAAATTTGACCAGGCATTTGAGCAACAGAGTCCCTTCTCCCCACATAAGACTTTGATCTGGAAATGTGTGGACAGGCTTCACTTTGGGCAAACAAAAATGAAAACCATATCCAAGGCAGAATAAAGCATTTGTAAAGCAAGGCAACCCTATTCAAAGAGCAGGGGGAAGTGAAAAGAGGGAAAATAAGTGGAAAGCCAGAGATTTACCTTTCTCTGCTTGTTGCTTTAGCTATGTCTCAAGGGGCTGCTCCCCCACTCTGCAAAACCAGACGGTACCTCTCTGGTAATCTGTGTGTGCAGCAGGATCAACCTACAAAGCATAGCTTTATAAAATACAGTTGCTGAAATGGGAACTGGCAGCCTCATTCATTTTAAATAAGACTAAAACATAAAATCACATTCTTTTTCAAGGTTTCAGATTGCATTTCATATTTCTTATGCTAAATCCCAGATCACTTGAAAACCCCACAGAAGATTAAACTCATGTTCTTTTTCTTATACTCTTACAATACTGGCAAAATAAAGTTTTTGCCCTTCCTTTTTTTTTTTTTTAATCCTTTAACCAGGTCAGTGTCATTCATTCACACTGCTCTGAGACTGTGCTAGGTGGCACAGAGAGTCTCTAAGGCACGATGTGGACAAGATTTAGTGCTGAGGAATTTGGTTGAGATCCTAGCTAAATATAGCTCAGTGGCAAGGAAGGTCTTCATTTTATGAGAGGACTTCAGTGGGCATAAAAGACCAACCTATTGTAGCAAGGCTGAAAAACCCCATAATCTGGGAAAGGTATTACCAGCCTTATTCCATGTGTTGGTCTAAAAATCAGTGTGATTCCTATTTTACACACTGGTTTAACCTAGCATATTTGCATACTTGCTCAGTTTAGTGAATGTCTGTTATCATTTTAGTCATGCAACTTGGAATCCCCCTTCCTTAATAAAAAATACCCTCATTTCCCTCTGAGGAGCTAGAACTTCCCTAATCTCACAATGTGTGCTTTGGGTGGAGATGAGTCTACCTCCAGCTCCAAAGGAGGCATCTGATTTAGCCCTGAACCTCTTTTTTGACCACAAAGTTGGATGCATAGGTAGATAGAGGAATAAATTGGAGCCAATAAAACTAATCTTAGGATATGGTTGAAACGACCAAAAAAAGGAGGTCTTTTTTTCTTTGCCTTCTATAATTTCCACAGCCATCTTTTCATCACAATGGGACAGCCTGTCTGAGAATGAGGCCAATGCAAAGAAGAAAGTGGAGCCCACGTACAGAGAGATGATACATTGATGATATCATGTGTCCTAGATTCATGCTTCATATGAAGGTAAATTTTACCTTTGATGTTTTGTGTGTTCATTAAAAAATACAACATTATATCAAGATACTGAGGTAGCATTCAATGGTAAATGTCAGTGGTATGCTGACTGCCAAATATTTGCCAACTGGATGGGGTGTGTGTGTGTGTGTGTGTGTGTGTGTGTGTGTGTCAAGAGGGAGATGAGGGTAAAGCTCTGATTTACAGTGTTTTCTAATCTCCATAAACATTCTCCTATGCCAACTTTGAGCTACCAGCTTGAGGTCACTGAACATAGTCCTGGGAAGAGATGTATACTGTAGATTCTTGCAAGCTGATGAGAGCTAGCTCCAAGGTATCACTGGTTAGATTATATGCTAGCTTTCAGTAAGTCTAAAAAATTTTTCTCCTAGTATTTATCAGTCATTTTGGAAACATTACACCTTTTTCAAAAATCCGTAAAATATTGCTATGAGACATAGTGATGCCTGGAACACTTCCTTTCCAGTTTGTCAGCAGAGGATGAAGAATAGCATCATCTCCCATTAACACAAGGGTAGGGATAGGTTTAGAATACTTCAGATACATCATACAACTCTGACTTAGTAATGGGAGGTAAGAGGTGATCAGAACAGAAGCACACATATCAGAAAGACTTCATACCTGTGTGGCAATATTTAGATTTATCTTTCATATGGAAACCTGGGAAAGCCAGTGAAGTTTTCTGAGTCTCCCTTTGCACATCTTTAAAATTGGTTGGTTACTAATACCTAAGTTACGGAGTTGATAAGAGAACTAAATCTGATAAGCTATGTGAAAGGGCTTAGCATAATGTGGAGAACATGGTGAGTGTCCAGTAAATATTAGTGATAATGATCATAACTATTAATATAAATAAATAATCCACTACTTTTTTCTCTCCTCTCCTTCTAGGAGTCCCATTATACCGATACTGAAACACTGAAGTCTTGTTCGTGTCTTTTTTATGTTTTTCAGATTGGGTAATTTCTATTGATCTGTTTTCATTATCATTGACTCTGATTTTCTTTTGCTCTCCAATTGGCTGTAAAGACCATTGGTCCATTTTTCAATTTATATGTTTTAATTTGAGATCCTAGAATTTTCATTTGTTTCTTTACAAATAATTAATCTGTTGATTTTCACTTTGAAATCACTCTTTTTCTGTTAATTTAACACGTGATATATTGACATTTTTTAAATTGATTGCTCTTTCTCTGAATCTTGCTTAACATTGCCTCATTTCATTATGCTTTTGGTAAATTTTGATTGTCTACTAGACATTTTGAATGTATGATGCACTGTGGACTCTGGCTTCAGTTATCTTCCTCTGAAGTGCATTTATTTTTATTTTAATAAGTACTTAAATTATCGACTGATCACAATGAAGTTGTGCATTCTTTGGTTTACAATTTTTTTTCTTCCTTCAGATTTCCCTTAATTCTATGGTCAGTCTTTAGTCCTGGGACCTAGCCTCTACTCCTAAAGCTTACCCCGTCTGGGGTTTCAGTGGAAAACCCAAGGTGACTACCACTTGTCTAATGGTAGTATCCAAGCTCCGAATTCTTTTTTTTTTTTTAACCTGTGGTAGAGAACAGCTGAAATTTCCACTCAGCTTTTTCAGATATGTACTTATTGCTCTCTTCTACGTTCTTTGGATATATGTGAAATTCAGGGTCAGCCACGATGTGAGAGGAGTTCACAGGTAAATTGTGGAGCCAACCCAATGTGGCTTTCCCCTTATCAGGACTAGTCTCTCAATTTCCAGATACTTTGTCAGCTGCAGTCTCTGTCCTCTAACACAGTGGTCCCCAAGCTTTCTGGCACCAGGGACTGGTGTCACGGAAGACAATTTTTCCATGGACTGGAGGTGGAGGCGGAGGCAGAGGCGGTGTGTGTGTGTGTGTGTGTGTGTGTGTGTGTGTGTGTGTGTGTGGTTTCTGGATGAAACTGTTCCACTTCAGATCATCAGGCATTAGATTCTCATAAGGAGTGCATAACCTAGGTCCCTCACATTCACAGTTCACAACAGGGTTCGCACTCCTCTGAGACTCCAATGCTCTGTTAATCTGCAGGAGGCAGAGCTTAGGCGGTAATGCTCCTTAGCTGCTCACCTCCTGCTGTGCGCCCAGGTTCCTCACAAGCCACAGACTGGTACTGGTCCATGGCAGCTGGGGGGCTGGCACCCCTGCTCTAGCATACCAAACCAACCAGCCTGCAGCTTTTTACCTGAGTTTCAGCAATCACATACCACACAATGATGTGAAGTAACCCTAAAATAAAATCTGTAACATACCCAGTGCCACTTCCTTTCTTCAAAGGTCAAATGGTCAAATGGTCTCCAGCTTTTGCCTGATTTTTATCATTCTCTAGTGCCTTCAAACAGTATTTTTACCATTTTTCCAGAGTTTTAAAGTTTATTAAAGAGGAGTAAATGTAACACAAGATACTCTCATGTTATTGGAACTGTAATCAACCCATTCCTTTTCCATTTGTATCATTTTAGGCGGTTTCTATATTTCTCACCTATTGAAATTCCTCATTCTTGTATTCTAGAAATAATATGCTTTTAAAAATGTTATTTTTAGCATTCTGGTGCCTTAGAGTAGGTGAGGGTATAGCTTATGCTGAGTTCTTCACATTGAATGAAACTTTCCAGAGGTAGTTATTAAATGGCTTTCTTGGTTAAGCATTCACCACTAATTTCATTCAAATATATTCTGGTAATGAGTAAACATCAGTTTTTCCTACTGCTAGAAATAATTCTCCCATGTTTTCATTATGATCTAGGGTCCTTTTAACAAGCTCCTAGAGAATAGGTTTCTTACAGGTTTAAGTGGAAAAATAATTTCACATGGGGTATTTGTAGGGTCCAGAGGTGACTGACATTATCATGCATTTATGTATTATTTCTCAGGACTCAGAGCCAATTGAACCTGTACATAGACAATAACCTGAAAGGCAAGATAGATGCAGGTTTGGGCTACCCAGAAACAGTTGGCATCTTTGGTAGTGTCAAGCCTGGCCTCCTTTTGTGCAGACTGAAGTTTGGCTTGTGTTTTTCCATCAGCCTAAGCTTTTCCACTTACCCTCAGTAAACCTAGGCTCTATCCCAGCTGCTTCTAAATTTGCCAAGTGTAAATGAGCTCAGGCTGCTGAGGAAAAAAAAAAAAAAAAAAGCCTGGGACACTAAGGAAAATAGCAGAAGAAACTCTTCAAAACTCTTTACCCCCCAGTGACTTATGAGACAGCTTCTAGAATAAGCAACTACAATCTTTTCCTCCTTCTTTGTTATTTAAAAGAAAACATCAAACCAACACTACTTAAAGTTTAATTATTCTGACTAGGAGGGAAGTTCTTATCTCAGCTGTGATCTTAATTGAGATTGATTTGAAATCTAGCTAAGAGTTCTCCTTGACAGGAGATATCACAGAGGCAGACAAGTTTAACGTTACCCAGCGAACTTGGTGAGATGCAGAATCCCCTTCCAAGTTTCTTAAGGCATCACTAGCAGAGGAAAACGGTAACGATTTGTCGTTTCGTTTTGTTTAGGATCTATATATACTCTGTTACCAAAAGATGGACTAAACTGTGTCATCTGGTCCTTTTCAAATGGAAGTCCTAATTGACAGTCTTCAGACTATCAATCCTGTGCATCAGCTATTATTTGAGTTATCATGCTATCATTCCAGAGAACCCACAGTCAGATGCCAGTGTAGGTGTTTCATATTTTCTATGTTCAAGGAATTATAAGATGTTTTGGAGAGATAAGGAAATAAGTTTAGCATCACACACACTTACCTACATAATCTATGGTGTTATTGAGCATCTTGGTTATACGTTTCATTTTTTGTTGTTTGCTTTGGGATGTAGCTGATTCAGCTGTAGGTGCACTCAAGTGTGTGAATGCAGGCATATGCCATTTAAATTCATGAATTACATGTCCATACATTGCAATAAGACTTTCCATTTATTAATTCATTCATATTTAATAAACAGTAAATGCAGGTGTTAGTTTCAAGTTCAGGTTCCAGTCCATGCTGAGGTCCAAAGGGAGTGGGTGGATGAATGACACATAGCTGGAAGAACACTCAGGGGGCCGTAGGTAGGTGAAATATGGCTTTATTCAGCCACTCTGATCAGTAGCTCTCTTACACTGTCTGCTCTGTCTTGGCTGCTCCCACACACGACTGCGCGGCCTGCTCTTTCTTCAGAGTCAGCAGCTTAACTCTTTCTCTGGGCACAAGCTGGCCAGGCTGTGTCCTGGCCAACCCCCGCCCTCCGTTCATCTGCAAAGACAGACAGCTCTGGCTCTCTCTCTCTCTCTTTCTCTGGGTGCGGGCACACCTGTACATTGTCAGCAGAGAAATTATACCTTTTACAGACAATAGCAGCATAGGGCCAAGGGATGGCCTCCCCATGTTATGGCTACACAGCTGTGACAACAAGTGGAGTTATATGCCTGCGCTCTAAACTTGCTGAGTCAGGTGGGATGGAAACATCCTACCTTGGCCTATCCTTGACCAAAGCACAGCCATATTCCTTACAGCAGGGCACCTGGGGTAACTTGAAGCTAGCCAAAATTTGGTTGGAAGAGATAGCTGGTTATGATGGTGGGAAATGTGGTGCCAGGCACCTTTCCAATGAAACATTTTCCTCCTGATAGTCTCTTACTGGGGCCAATTTTGCCACTACAATTTACTTCTTTGGATTGGGTCATGGCTACTTTGAAATAACTTTTTTTTTAAGTACTGTGTTCAGTGGAGGAGAGGTGGGAGAAGTTTGGAACAAGGAGGTGACCAACTTTATTTTTAGACATGCTGATTTTTAGTTGTCTGTGGGCATCGGGATGAAGGGGTCAAGGTGGATACACTTGTCAGTATTCAGGGAACAGATTGTGGTTAGAGAATTATGTTTAGAAGGGTCTGTATATCCAAGCTAACAGAAACCATGGGTGTTTATGTAATTAGCTAGGGAGAGGTTTAAAACTAAGATGAGATGCTTGTTGCTATTCTATGAAGCAGATATTATTATTCCAATTTCAATAGAAGAAAATTAGTCCCATGGAGTTTACTTAATTTTTATTTAATCACTAAGTCGTGATGCCAAAAATAGAACCAAGTTCTCTTAGTCAAAATTATCATTTGTTGAGTCATGATCTCTTTCTTGCCCACAGGTAGCTATTGGGGCCCAGCATGCATAAGGTACTATAGAGCTAAGAAAACAAGCAGAAGGCACATGATTGGCCCCCAGGCAAGAGTGGGACTGTACGAGTTTAGAATGAATCTCTTTGTCACTATTTACACCACTTGTCTCTTTTAGGCCTTTCATTGTATTATTGGTCACTTCTTTTCAAGTCACGGTCTGTAGGCCCTGCTGGAATCTTTTTCTGAAGAGGTCTAATGGTTTACTTTTGTCAAAGAGGAAAGAACTGAACTTTTCAACCAAACATTCAAGGTCCCCTGAGTCTGGACTAACTGTGCTTTCCGGTTTTATTTCACGCTTCCTCCCAGAACGGAGTCTTTCCTCCAGCCAGACAGATCTTGTCACTATTCTCTTGTTTTAGTGATCTATTTCTATGTAATAATATGCCCCAAATTTAGTAGCATGAGCAATAAGCAACAGTCATTTTTATGCTTGCCTCTCACAACTCTTGGAGTTGTCTGAATTAAACTAGGCATTCTTTGCTTGAATTTCTCATGCAATTGAAGACAGGTGGCAGCTGGAACCGACGCCATCTTGAAGGCTTCTTTATTCACAAGTACGGACCATGAGCTGAGAAGACTCAAAGATCTGGGGGATTAATCTCCTAGATTTCTTCAGTCATCTTCTTCTTCATGTAGTATCTCTGTGTGGTCTGCCCAGTGTGGCAGCTTTGGTGTAGCTGGTGGGTCGGGACCCTGGTGGATCAGGTTTCCAAAGACACCTACCCCATAAAAGAGAGAGCTAGGCAGAAACTAACATCTTTTGTGATTTAACCTTGGAAGACATGCAGCATCATTTTTACCACATTCTATTTGTTATAAGCAAGTCACTAAGGCCAGGGCCATATTCAAGGAGAATGCAACTAAACTTCGGCTTTCGATTGGAGAAGCGTAAAGTCAATTCGTGGACATGTTTTAAAAACATTATCCCACCCCAAAAATCTTCCGTGCTTTCAAGATTCTTGCATTGATAGAGATAGATACCATTTCCTAGGGCTAACCTATTTCTCCACTCATCTAAGTACTATATATATATATATATATATATATATATATATATATATATAAAATTGTTTTTTTTTTTGAGATGGAGTTTTGCTCTTGTTGCCCAGGCTGGAGTGCAATGGCGTGATCTGGGCTCACCACAACCTCTGCCTCCTGGGTTCAAGTGATTCTTTTGCCTCAGCCTCCCGAGTAGCTGGGATTACAGGCATGCGCCACCATGCCCGGCTAATTTTGTATTTTTAGTAGAGACAGGGTTTCTCCATGTTGGTTAGATTGGTCTCAAACTCCCGACCTCAGGCGATATGCCTGCCTCGGCCTCCCAAAGTGCTGGGATTACAGGTATGAGCCACCATGTCCAGTAAGTACTACATATTTTCATATCATTGTTAACTGTCACTTCCTCTGGGGAGACTTCACTTAAGTTAATAATCACTAATGACGTCTGGACCACTTTCTGCAATACTCTACACTATATGCAATACTAGCTATCATTTTTCATACACATGTCTACCTCCCCAACTAGGAAGATATAGTGAGGTTTTAAAAGATAAGAACGTGTTTCAAAGGTTAATTCACTGATTAATTCAGGATATTAAGGTGATATTTATTATGTCACTATTATTTAATAATTGATAAATGATAGACATTTCTTCATTACGTTTCTGACCAGGTTTATAGTAAAGCTCAGGTCTGAGGACCAGGAAGCTTCACCTCTAATTTAGAAACTCTTGATAGAGCAAATCCCTTTCTCTTTGAGTCTCAATTCTATAGTATTCATAAAATGCAAATAAGGTCCCTTTGGGCAGGAACTTGGAGAAGGGCAAACTAATTACCCTCACACTGCAGTGTAATTTTTGGTATGATATCCCTTTTGAATTCAGCAAATCTTGGAGGCTGTTACAGTTTATGCTCTTCAGCCTTTTTTCTTGGTAACTAGGTGGCAGTAGCTTGGAGAAGCCTCTAATCTTGGCAAATAACCATTAAAATAAAAGGTCTCTGGGAGCCCCTGGGGGAAAACTTTATCAGGAAACCAATTAGTTTAGGTCCAACCCTTGACTCTTTCTGTTCAGAATTTTAAAACTACTGCCTTATATCCTGTTTTATTTTCTTAACCTGTAATTAATTACTGCCCATTACAAATTCCCAGACCACAGGAAGCCTTTATCTGCAACATTAGGTCACTTGGAAGAAAGATTAAATCTGTAAAGAGAGGATACTGAATGACTGAAGGGTTTCAGGACTGAACATATTAACTCCAGAGATGGCTTCCTGATTTGGGGAATAATCCAAGACATTCTGTAACCCATACGTACAGAAATCTTCCATCACGACTGTGTGATCCGCTTGAGAACAGCAGGTGTTCCTGAAATAACTACCACTACCAAGGCTAGATTCTGGGGGATAGGGAGATTGTCAGGTCATGGCCTTGATTGTGAAATGAGTGCAACTTCTTCCCACCAACGAAGAACTGAAGAAGGACAGATGCAGCCACTTGTATCATTATGACAGATCAAACTAATTATGACAGATTAAACATATCTTTGTTACATGGTGAATTTTACTCGAATATAGTTTCGAGTAAACTTAGCATCTTAAAGATTTTAAAATTTTTATTACTTAGCCCTCACCCTACATACAAACAAGGTTATGTTGTATTGTAGGCATGCATTGTTTCACTTAATGACTAACATGAAGTGAGTATTGTTATCCCACATTTAAAAGGAAAAAAACTGAAGTTCAGAGAAGTTAGGCAATTTTTAAGGATCACAGATTATCAGTGGTAGAGATCTGATTTAAATTGAGGATCTGCTGTTTCTAAAATACATGTTCTTTCTGCTAAATCCTGTATACACACATACACACACATACTATATCTATTCAAAAAATATAATTCAATTAGAGAGTGGAATATCAAAGAAGAACTTTTTCAGATGTATTTTATTGTTATCTAAAGTTGTATCTCTAATGGCTAACATGGTGGCTAGCATGGAGGGCAGGCTTAGTAGGTAGTTATTGAATGAATACTCTTGTGAGTTGTGACAAGGGAAAGGATACAAATAAATTGTTGAGAAGTACAAAGAAAAGTTGAGCTTGCTCTTAAAAAATGGGACAAGTCTGGGCACACATTTGACAGGAATTGAGTGTCAGAAAAGGATTTCCTTGCACATGGGCCCCCATGAGCAAAGTGAGGGGTTAAGTCTTAGTAATTCAAAGGGTGAACAAAAGGTTCAATGGGAAATGAAACCATTGAAGGTGGAGTATCAGACATTAACCTAATTGTTAATAGGTAGAGAAAGAGACACTTTTTAGTTAAGGCAAATTTTACTCCAACTGAAATCACTCTAAACATGGGATCACAGGTAAGGCTGAACTTGACAATTTGTTAAGGGATCTGATCATGCCATCTGAATTGACCTGGTGCAGGGCTTTATTCAAATGCCTTATCATAAAATGAAAATAGAGTTCTCCTTCTGTTCATCATATATTCATGTTTATTTTAATGTTTGTTCTGGGAAGATGGGCTATCACATACCTGTGAGGGCAGTGTTACAGGAGGTTAACTTGTCAACATAATTTACCTCAGGGGGAAAATGGTGTTTCTATGATGTTTATTTTTCAACTTCAGAACAATTATAATGCATTTTAGAAAATAAAGGGAAGTCATAAGAACTCTCTAATGCAGCCTGTTCCAACAACAAAAAAAAATTTCTAAGTCTGGTATTTCCAATCCAGTCTTAGAATTTTTTTTTTGTTGGAACATGCTTCATTAGAGGATTTACTTTTAAGTGAGCAAATTTAGTGGAATTATGTCCACACTGCAAAGCCAACACTTGTTCTACAAAGCAGAGGGAAGATTGAAGCAGCAAGGGAAGTTGTCTCCCCCACATCAAGGAATCCTATTCACATTTGCTGGAGAAGCCTAACACTCGGAGAAATGAGCTGGGAAAATTTCACATCACCTTCAATTGGTCCTTTTCCCTCCAGTTTGTCATCCTTTTCCTCAACTTTTTAGTGGATGATTAGGTATGCTTCAGGCTTTAGGTCCCTAAGAGCTTTTTAGGAATGACAAAGGAGACATGATATCAACATGTTACTGCCTCAGGAGAAGAGCCTGAAGCAGACCAGTTGGTGAAACAAAATAAGAAAGGCTGAAGTTGAAGTCGCATTTCTACACATACTTACTGGCTGTAAATCGTAATATCTATACTCATATGACTTTCTCCTATGTGTATTTATTGAATGAATGAATGAATGAGAAAATAAATGTGTATTATTTTTGCCTCCTTCTCGTCCCCTCTCAAGCACATTAATTTAGCACCTACTGTATGCTATGCCTCTAATAAATATGACCCTATCCTTGTCCTCAATGATTGTGCAATCCGATTGCAAAAAGGCAATGTGGAGGACTATGACTCAAGATTCAACATATAAGGAAAAGAATGATTCATAGAAAGGTTAAAAACAGAGAGTGATCACCACGATGTGTTCAAAGGGTCAAAAATAAACTCCCAGCTCAATAGCCCAGGAGCATTATCCTTACTTTGCAGAGGTGATAGAGGCACAGAGAAACTAAAGTATCGTTCTCAATCAAAATTCTACTAGCAGGTAAAAAAGGACAAAAAACCCATTATTTCCTTTTATTACTATGAACTGTTTCTCAAGAAAATAGAAAATATTAAAAAACTACCATAAACAGAAAAATTCTTATGTTCAAATAACTTATAACAATGAACACACAATGCCAGCTCACATCTGCTTAAAATACTGAACATTGGTCAAGTTTGATTTACAAATTATGACCCAGACAAATCTATAAATGCATCAAAGCTTTAGAATTCTAGCATTAAAGGTTCATTCCCCTGAAAGCAAAACACTTTCCCTCTTTCCAGATTTTATGTCATTCTACATAGTAGCCAGAAGGGACAATTAACCATCTTTTGAAGACATTAATATTTACATGCATTATAGATTATATAACCCAATCTTGATTTCCCCCTTGCACAATGGCAGTAAGCCCCACCTCAAGAGTCCAGAACTGGGATATTCTCTAGTTCTGTAGTAGAGACTGCATACTCAGTATTGAAAAATACAGAATATTAGGGCCCTACAACACCCTCTATTCACTTTCATAGCAAATATGATGAGGAATCCAGTAAACACATAGCCTGAATCTACCTCATAGTCCTCTCTTGCAATGAAAATCACCTGTTCTTTTTGCATATGAAATGGAATTGAATATATGATTTATTAATATTTTAGATATTTCATCTCATGGCTCTACACACATAGACACACATATGCATTCACACATGGCAAGGGAAAGAAGTGAAAGAAGAAAGAAGAAACAGGCCCTACTCTTAGAAAACACTACACTGGTAAGCAATCGTTTGTGAGCCCCTTGACAAAGACTAAATTTTTAATTCCCATGTCCCCAGTGCTCACATCTGGTCTCAATAATTGCTTATTGAAAAACTGAACAAATGATTCAATCTTCATTCACTTACTATTCATTTATTTATTCATTCAAAAATATGTATGGCATTCTGTTTTGTAAAGGTAATGGCAAAATCATAATGGGGGAAGACAAAGATTATGCTGTGGGCTGGACTTACATGGAAAGGATTTACCAGAGCTATATGATAGAGTTAGAAAGGGACAATTTAAAGGAAGAAACAAACGAGGCATGGAAAGAGGGAATGTTTTACATAATGCAGTAAAAGCCAACCTAAGCATAGATTTATATGAAAGAAAATATGCTTCTCTGCACCTAGTAGGAATGTTGAGCTGCTTTGCTAGTAGTAAGCACTGTTCTCACCTGGTTCTCCCATTAAGATTTTGTGCTATCCTATTTCAATGAACTGCTTTAACATCCAGATAATTCAGCTCTACTTCTTCAGAAATAGCCCTTATTCCTTTCACTAATTATTTGGAGATTTTCCATCGTTTACTTTTGTAGTTAGCAGGTGTTAAATTAAAAAGAAAAAAATATGAAAGGACCACCACCAACAAAAAATGCTCCACTATATACATGCCCCATCACAAACTCTAGCACCAATCTTCCTTAGTCTCTTCTATTGCCGAATTCTCTGTCCTGTTTTGTACTATCATAGTGTTGCACTTGTACTTCCTTTTCAAGGTTCCCATTACTTGCATTCCTCTCTTAGCTAACCCTGAAGAAACACGCATCTGTTCTCTCTGGAAAAACATTTCTGATTCTCTGAATCTAGCCTGGGCTAGATGCAGCTCATTTTTTAGCAACCTATGCTAATATCAACAAAAGGTTCATGTTACAGAGGGAGCTGGATCTAGGGTCTCAAATCATGCCACCAAAATACTTTTCTTTTGTTTTCTTCTCTCTTTGTTTCTATGTTTGAATCATTCTGGAGAAAACTTCTTCTTATATTGGGCCCTGAAGACATCTCTGAAATAAAACATTCATATTTGAGATTTACTTTAACAAAAATAGCAATTAACACTTTCATTGGCCAGGACTGGAGTCATGGGCTTACCCTTAGAACAAGGATGCGCAGTCTACCCAGCCTAAATTACAGGGACCAAGAATGGAACGGGATGATATCTTAAAAGTCAATTGGAAGGAGCTTCAAAGTGTGATTACACAGAGGAAAGGATAAGTTAAACAATTATAGGGATTTAGGTGGATTGAAGACAGAGTGACATTGAAAGAGTTGGAGAACCGTACTCAACAAACACACACAGGCACACAATACTGAAAAAAATGAAGAAATACTAGCTCTGATATTATAATAGTATTCAACAACAAAAAAGGGCCATCTTTCCTTTGTGGAACTGTTTATCTGGCAATTAACAAAAGATCTTTGCTGAAATCATGGGTTTAAGACCCAAATTAAATTTGTAGTTTTGTTAGGAGGTGCTGGACAGTAGCAGTTAGAGAACAGGCTTTTGATAATAATTACGTTGATGCAGATATTTAGCCAGAATTCTGTGGACATTATCTCATTTAACCAGCCCAACAATCTGGATTATCATTATCTCTGTTTCACAGATGATGAAGAAATAGTCTTTGCAATATTAAGTAACCTGCCCAGAGTCTTACATGTGGAAAATGGTCAAAAGAGGATTTGATCTTGAATCTGTGTTTATAAAAGCTTTGTCTATTCCACTGTGCCATGAGGGCTGCTTTCCTTGTCTCCTGTTTGATTAGCAGGCAAAATTTCAGTTTTTCATTTGGCACATTGAAATATTCCATTTTCCATCATTTCTCATATATAAACCTCCCTGACTCTAGACAATTTTTAGAGAAAATGAACCCAATTTTGCCAAGCGGCTTCTTCCGTGGATGCTTACTGGTGAAGCATCATCCGGCAGTAGGCTGAAATCACACAACCTTAGGAAAGCCTAGTTCTTCCTCTTCCCAAGAGAATGGATGTGAAGGTGTACACAGACAGTTGGCTCCTATGCCAAATTTTGGCTTGATTACCAAGATGTACTGGCAATAATGTGAAGGTTTGTTTACATGGCCTATTGCCTACCTGTCTGAACTATGGACCATCTGTGTATGAGTTGCCTAGGCAATAGGTTGGGAATGAGCAGACCAAGATTTATCTGCACTGATTGTAAGCAGAAAATGAACTTTCCCAAGTAAAGATTTGATTTTAAAAAATCAACCTGAAACAGATTCTCTAGATACAAATTATTTTGGAGAAGGGAGAAGTGACTGGTTTTGCTAATATTGCAATTTTTATGTTTTTGTTGTTCCTTAAGATAAAGCATAAATAACTGACAGAAGAGAAATGAGCTACTCAATGAATTATAAACACAAATGAGTCCATAAAATATTTACCTGCAATGAAGCGTATTTGATACTATTTGACAGTAAGTATACACAAACCTAAAACACTATTGCAACAAGAATTATTTTTAACGTGCTCCTTTTGATATTTTTTAATTGAAGTCTACTATTGTCAAAACTTAACAGGGACCTGTTAAGTTTTGGGGTCATGTTTTTGTTACTCTCTTTTCTCCAAAAACCAATATCTTAGCTATAGGGTGAGATACTAGCATCTCTTCTTGTTATTTATTATTACAATCATCATAAATTTGACTATTTGCAAGTAATTGTATAGGTGCATATTTAAGAGTAATTACAGCTATCCATAGAGTTTTGGGGGAAGTAAAAGAGACACTTAGAGATCCACATCAAATTTGGCAGTGAAGTTTGTGGGAAAGAGCACATTATGGGGTTAATGAGGGTCCCTGCCTAACTGTCCTGCATCCACATCTTGGCTAGTGTTAGCTCCCTATACTCTAAAGCTTGTATAACATAGCACAGCATGGGTATTAAGAGTACTGCATTCAGACCGTCTTGCCTAGATTCCTAGCTCCACCACTCCCTAGCCACATGACTGTGGGCATGGGCGTGCTGCTTCTCAGATTCCTGATTTGTAAAAGGTGGATAATAGAAACTATGCATAGAGTGGTTATTGGGTGAGATTGGGAGAGTGAGAGATTGAGCCTGGTACCTGAAATGTGTAGACAGAGGTAGGTAATCAATACTGGTATTCTCCTCTTGGACTTTACGAGTGGGAATAATATCAATCTGCATTATTTCCAATCTCTGCATTCTATATAAAACCTCATAATCTCCCAACACATATTCTGGACAGGTGTTATTGATCCATTTCAGAACCTGAGACAGCCAATGTGCCTATGCTGTGCTGACATAATTCTGAATTGCAGCTCAGGTAGGGAGTTTAACTGGAGGAAAAATGGGGAGGTTGGCTAAGGTGATCAGAATGAGAACAAAGATTGACTGATATTCCCAATAGCTTCTGTTAAGCTCATTTCCTTTCAGGAACACTCATCCTTCATTAACCCAGAATGATGATTTACAAGACCTTAAAATTAGCTTATTTTGGAAATTTATCAATGCAAAGAGTAAAATAATAAAAGTTTCAGATTCATATAGATGCTTCCATAAAAATGACAGTAAAATTTATCTGTACAACTTGGAGTGTGGGGGAGGGAAAAACAGAAAATATCAGCTAGCAGTTATCCTTAATGAGTGGGGAATTACTATGGAACTTATTCTTTCACTTATGTGGAGATTGATTAACTCTCAAATTAGATAATTACTGTATTAATGCCGGGTTTACATATAAGTGAATGGGATTTGATGCATAGCATCTACCTATAGTCCTTGATTTGTACAAGATATGATGAGAAACTTCTTTCATCCTGATTTTCCAAAAAAATTCTTAGCCCAAAGTGAGAAATAAATGTTTTCTAATTGGAAATTGAAATATAGGAAGAGTAATCGAAAGGACTGTCTTACCTTGTCCTACTGAAAGGCAGTGAAAAACAGTCTACCAAATATTTCTTCTTCCTGCCTTTATCCAGTTGAGCATTTCTTCTCTTCAGTACTTCTGTCTCCCTTTACTTCACTAGAACAAAGTCAACGGTGAGAAAAATTGCCAAATACTCACTAAATGGGTGTCAAATAGAGAACTGAGAGCTTATTGCAGCTTATGTTCCCCTAAGCAACTCTTGTTTGTTTACATTTTGTAGTATCTACCAGCTCATAATAGCTGTGACAACAGGATGACACTGACCCTCTCATCTTACTTGACTGAAACATCTATTGCCTTTGATATGAGTTGAGTCAATATTGTCTTTTCTAGGTGTTTTGAATTAAAACCAGGAAAATTGGACACAGAAAGTCATTGTTTAATGTGGAATTTTGCAATATGTACATTTCAGAGTTGAAGAAGCTATGTTCTACAGAAATGAGGGTTTTATAGCAGAGAAAGAAGAGAGTTCTGAGAGAGAGAGAGAGAGAGAGAGAGATAGAGAGAGAGAGAGAGAGAATAGAGAAACAAAAATGAAAATGTCCCAGGTTCTCGAAAGTTTTAATTTTTCAGGATCTGAAAATTTCTGGATGTCTGGCTGCATGTTTAGTCAAGTCACAGTGAATCTGACAGAGGCAAACTTTGCTGATTAAGACAATTATTTGACTGGTTCATTTTCTTAAGCTTTCCGTGTCTTTTTTGTAGGATAATCATGTTAGCGGTTGTAGGCTCTGGATGCTAACCTGTTTACTTTGTTTTTTCGACCATCTCTAGCTTTTAGACATTAATCCCACTTTTAATAAGCGGTGCTCTTTGAGTCTCAATTAACAAGTCAAAGCAATTTCTGCTGCTTCTGATCAAGGATTGATATTCTTTTTGTGGGCCATACATCACCTCAATCTTTCTAGCCTAAGTCGGGGGATCATGAGATGGGCACATATTCCTTCCACATCTTCTTTCCAAACACTATTCCTCTTCATAATTAAGCTGCTCTTTCCCGAGCATTATCATTAGTCCTTACAAGAGACACAAAGTAGATTTTATTATTTTCATTTTCGGATTGACACATTGAAACTCAGGAAATTAAAATAACATGTTCAATACTGGAGTTGGGACATCGAAGGGTTGGAATTTTAATTGAGGATCGCTGGTCTCCTAAGCCAAAGCCTTTTCTAGGACCCTACCACCTCTTGTTCTTTCTCAGTGTCAGGAATTTAACATTGGATTAATTACTTACCTCATTCCTTTGGGATTTTTATAGTATTCACCGTCAAGAACCATAAGCACTTTTGAATTTCATTCCTCATCACAATCCCAAGAGGAATGTGTCTATTAACATTTTAAAGATGAGGAAACTGAGTCTTGGAACTTGCCAAGGACACAGCATTTATAGATTGCAGTGTTGGACAGCATGCCCAGATCGGTCTGACTGTTCTCCCAATCCACATCACTTGCTCCAGATCTTTACTCCCTCTTTTATTTTCCAGCCATAATTAGCATGTGTTAAACTGGGACACTTGGCTTAGTCCCATGCTACTCTCAAGACCAGATGATTTGATGTACTAACTTAGAGAAACAGAAAGGGAAATGGAGGTGGAGAAAAATAGAGAAAAGCACTGCTACTTGCACATTAAAAAAGGAATGGACAACTCATTCAATGAACAAGAAACCCCTAGGTCTAAGTTGTCCCTCAACCCTAAGAAAAAAAATAGGATGGCTGACTTTGAAGTAACCGCCTTCTTCCAGCTGTCATACACTGACTTTAGCTCCCATGCTGGAAGTTGCCACCTTATAGCACGACTTTTGTTCTTATTCCATCAATGCTTCTGATATTCATTTCAACCTGATTACACCCTTTCTCTATGCTCAGGTCATTGCATAACTGATTATGTTCTGCAAGCCTTCCTTCTGCCCTCTCGGTTCCTTCCTTCTTGTCATGCCTCTTCTTTGTTCCTTTGTTCATTCATTTACTCATTCTCTTCACCACCACCTTCATTCTCTTTTCCCTTTCCTGTCACTCCTCTATGACATGCATTAGAGAAGGGAGAAAGGGGGAATAATCTACTCATCTATGTGTTCTATTCAACCACATGCCTTAATATCTTGTTTCTATAACAAGAAGTAATTTTGCAAGGACATTATGGGACTCTTAACTATAAGTAAGAATCTCTCTTGTCCTGGAGACATGTAGCTTCAGTTACTTACATTTGGCCTGCATTCTAAAGCTTATACATATAACCGGTCCAAAGATTTTACTACTGCCTAACCTAACTTCTTTCAGGTGCATGGCCAGTTTATTCTTGCTTATTCTCCAGCTTTCCCCCAAACCCTCTAAGAGAGCTCTTTAATAAGGTTGAACCTGTGACAACACAGATGGAGACAGTAGAGACAGAAAGCAAAGAGAGCAGGCCGACAGGCATAGGCAATAAGCAAGTCATCATGCTCTGTGCACAGAATAAAGAGTGTTGATCCCTCAGCTACACAAACTGGTTGTGAAAATAGGGAAAACATTAGTTTTTGGAAGTTAAAGCTCAGTTAATATGTGACCAATGACATATTACCCCATTTGACACAGTACCCCATGTCATGGGATACTAAGTGTTTTCTGTGCTAGCAGTTATGAGAAAATTTCAGAATATGGCTTGTAAAAAATTTTTCTTCTCAGATTATAAAGCCTTGATTTTCAGGGGGGGTTTAAAAATAATCTGTATGAGGCCCAGCGTGATGGCTCATGCCTTTAATCCCTGAACTTTGGGAGGCTGAGGCAGGCAGATCACCAGTTCAGGAGATGGTTAACATCCTGGAAAACATGGTGAAACCCTGTCTATACTAAGAAACACAAAAAATTAGTCGGGCATGGTGGCGCACATCTGTAGTCCCAGCTACTTGGGAGGCTGAGGCAGGGGGATCTCTTGAACACGGGAGGCAGAGGTTGCAGTGAGCTGAGATTGTGCCACAGCACTCCAGCCTGGTGACAGAGCAAGGCTCTGTTTCAATAATAATAATCTGTATGTATATATGGTGCATACAATTACAGATCTGCAAGAATAATTACTGTGATTGATTGAGTGCCAAAATACCCCAATTTTTCAGCCCAACACATATCCACAACATTTGTAAAACAACTTGTAACTTCTCATTCTTCCCTATTCCCACTGTTAAAGGTGGAATTGATTGTCCCACCTTTCAGCCCCATGATAAATCTATTTGTAATTTGGCTAACAGAATGCAGGAGAAGTGATAGTGTCCGAAGCCACTGTCACTAGGCCGGTCCAAAGCCGAGGCCTCAAGAGGCCTTTCCAGATTTTATTCTAACTCTCCGACCCCCGACCCCCGACTCTGACATGAGAACAAATATGAGTTGGTCTTCTGGAAAATGAGACTATTAAGAGCAGAGCAAAATTATCCCATCCAAGACTGTCCTTGCCCAGTCGTCCCTGACAAAGAGTCTTTTTTTTTTTTTTTTTTTTTGAGACAGAGTCTCGCTCTGTCGCCCAGGCTGGAGTGCAGTGGCGCGATCTCGGCTCTCTGCAAGCTCCGCCTCCCGGGTTCACGCCATTCTCCTGCCTCAGCCTCCCGAGTAGCTGGGACTACAGGTGCCTGCCACCACGCCCAGCTAATGTTTTGTATTTTTAGTAGAGACGGGGTTTCACCGTGTTAGCCAGGATGGTCTCGATCTCCTGACCTCGTGATCCGCCTGTCTCGGCCTCCCGAAGTGCTGGGATTACAGGCATCAGCCACGACTAAGAGCGTCTCAATGGTTCCTTCAGTTTGCCAACATTTGCGACAGGTTTCTTCCTGACTCTAGGCCCCTGACTCCCTTTCCTTAGAGCATTTTCTTTTGAAAACTTATAAATGCTTTCTCTGCCCCTTTAAGATATAAAGCTTTAAAAAGAAAAAAAAAAAAAAGGCTCTGGACAATTTTAGAGCCCAGGAATGTCCTTCCCAAAGACCTGAGAGCCATCGCTTTGGAATGTAGTCATTGAGGAAGATAGAACCCTAACTTCCAGTCTCTGTGGAAGGAGCCTAACTTCCATGGCACCTTGCTCCAAGTTGTGAAACTACCTCTTGTCACAAAGATATGAGAAGTTTATTTTTCCTTTGGATAAAGCCAATTAGCAATCACAGACGACCTATGACTTCCCCCTAACATCCTCCAGTACTTTCCCACCAGTTCACCCAGGGCTTCAAAGCCCTCCCACCCTTTGTTGCAGCAAAATTGAATTCAGGTTGAGTTCTGCCTTCTTTGCCTATTGCAATAGATTTGAGTAAGGTTTTTCTTCCCTATTGAACTTTTTGTCCAGTAAATGTTTTGCTTTGACATTCTCCAACGGACATAGCAATGAACTATAGGCCACAGATATGTAAGTCCAGATTGGATCAGCTGAGCCTGACACATATCTGCAAATTTGCCCAGTCAACTTGTGGTTTCATAAGTAACAATAAGTGTTTTTTTGTTGTAAACCACTGAATTTTGGGGTGGTTTGTTATAAAGCGGCAATTAAGAGAAATTATGCAGCAGAAATTGGTAGCTATCTGTGAGGGTCTGCCATGACTAAAGCTTAAAATACTTGGCACTGGCTTTGAGACAGAGACACAAGTGAGAGCTGGAAATATGATGAAAAAATTATTATAAGTGGCTGGAAAAATTTCAACTTGTGTTATACATTAGTGAAACTATTGGTAAATAAATCTTCTGCAGTAACATGGCAGACAGGAAATTTATCTAACAATCTTATAAATACGAGTAATGAGATTTTCAGGAAGTAAAAGCTAAGAAACTACGGGAAGATGAGCTAATGAAATTACCCAGTTTGCAAACGGAATGTAGAGGAAATAATACAGGAGCCAAGAAGGCTTTAGAAATAAAACTATTGTCATCTCCCACTTTTCTACTTGATAAAAGATATTTCAAAGTGAAATGAAACCTGGGTGAGGGGGGGCAGATTAAATTAAGGGTATGGCTGTTGAGTTGTTTGTTAAGACTTAAAGAATTAAAATAGCATCTAATGGACCCCTTGTGATGGTTAATTTTATATGTCAACTTGGCTGGGCCAAGTGGTCATATGTGTGGTCAATGTTGTTCTGAATGTTTCAGCATAGGTATTTTTGAAAGAGATTAATATTTAAATTAGTGGCCTTTTAGTAAAGCAGATTGCCCTCCATAATGTGGCTGGGCCTCATTCAATCGGTTGAAATTTGACTAGAACAAAACAGTGACCTCCCCTAAGCAAGAATGAATTCTGCCGCAGATGGCTTTTGGGCTTGAATGCAAAATCAGCCCTCTCCTGAGTTTCTACCCTGCTGGCCCTCTGAAGATATGGGGCTCATCAGCCTCCATAATCACATGAACCAATTTATTAAAATGCATCTCTTTATATATATATGTACAAAATGCATCCTTTATATATATATGTACATGCATACATACATATGTGTATATACATATAATCATATATATTATATGATCTATATCATGATCATGATATATATTATATTATGATATATATATTATATATTATGATATATAATATAATATATAATATATAACATATATATTATATATAATCATATGTATTTATATAATCATCCTATTAGTAATGTTTCTCTGGGGAATCCTGATGAATACACCTCTTTATCTGGATAAAATGATTTCTAAGAATTTTTAAGAAATTTTTCCACAACAATCTGTTACATTTGAGGTGGTATTAAGACTAAACATAAATGCTTGTCTCAGAAATAAGTATGGAAGTGGCATATATTGAACTTGAATTGAATTTATGTATTGAATTGAGTGAACTTATGTCAAATCCATAGAAATTTCCCTAATTTTAAAGGGACTATAAAGCCAAAGATTATGCCATCCTTGACTATAATTTTAAAAAGCTTCTTGGTCTTGAAATTACTATGGGCTGGAAATGGGTTGAAAAAATGGCTCAAAGGATATATTTTCCAATATCTGCTTCATAAGACACCAAAAGAGCAGATTAAGAAGAACGTCTCAGAAGTCTTTGGGGCCCGACCAAGCAACACTTCAATCCCAAGAGACAAGCAACTTCTGCCCAATATAATTTTTGGAATTGCTGTGGACTAGGAACTGCTACAGCTCTCATCTTCTTCCCCTTCTTGAATGGGAGTGTCTACTGTAGCTATTCTGTTCCTATTCACTGTTTCATATTTTATATCAGGGATAGGTGGGATAAAGTATATCTTTTTGATTCATAGCTCTTCAAATTAAGAGATGCCTTATTTGAGGTGAAGTAGACCAATTGATGCTGAATTTTGAGTGGGATGCATGATTGGATTAGACTTTAGAGTTTTTGAGCATGGGTGGGTGCATTTTTCTTGTGTGAGGATGTGAATAATTGTGGCCAGAGAGTAAACTGTGGTAGATCTATTGCCAACATAGTGCAAATTGTCTACTTGTCTCTGTATCTATGCCCTCTGCAATGTGACTTTGGAGGTACTCTCATTAAGCAGTGGATTCTATGCCCCCACCTTTAATCCTTGCTGGTCTTATGACTTTTTCCAGCCCCTAGAATATGACAGAAACAACAGTGTGTCAGGTCTAGAAGCCATGCATGCTTCTGCTCTTTCTCTTGGATATCTGCCTCCACCATGTGAACAACAACAACAACAAAAAAAACAAAAAACTACTCTACTGAAGGATGAAAGATTACTCAGATCAGAGCCAAGATATGTTATTAGGGGCCATCCAAGATTTCTCAGCCCTTAACTGATTTGTCTGCAGACTGCCAACACATGAGTGAGCCCAGCTGATACTTGCCAAACCTGGCCTGGACCTGCATAACTGCTCAAATCATGAGACTTATGTGAAATAATTAATAGCTGTTGTGTTCAGCCACTAGTTTTGGGATGCCTTGTTGTACAGCAATAGCTAAGTGACTAAATTATATATCATATTTCTACCAGGGAAATCTAGGGGGAGGCATCTGTGACTGTCTGCATCAGATGAGGCTCTATGCTTACACTCTCCCAGTCCCACTGGCTGCCTTGTGGCTGCTTTTCCACAACACAACAGACAGGTTGTTGCCTCTGGCCCTTGCTTATCTCCCAGATAGATGTAGGTTTCTCCTCTACCTCTTTCAATAATTTGCTCAAACATAAATATCTTTGGGAAACCTTTCTTAACCACATTATCTAAAATCATTCCCTGTCAGTCTTCTCTATTTACTTTCCCCCATAGTTCATATCCACATTGAACGCACTCATGCTACTAAAGTGAATATGCTATGAGGACATGGATTTTACTATTTGTTTTCTTTAGCGCCATATATCTGGTTAACTATACATGAAATAAGAATGAATACATTAAATTGGAGAACAAAAACTAAATGTAAAAGAAAGAAGAAAGGAAGAAGTAAAAACAAAAAGAAATGAAAGAAAAGTCATTGTAATAGAAGAAAGAATACTAACAACATGTAACTGTAACTTATAATTTTTTATTTATTTATGCATTTATGCATTAAATAAACAAAGCAAAATTTACTACAAGCCATTTGTATAAAGTGTGGTGACAAAAGCTAGGTCTGGTACTAGTGATAATAATAATAGTAATAATAAAAAATTACATAGGACCCCTTTCTTGAGAGGCACATCCTCTCCCTTTCTTGAGAAGAAAGGGACTAGTATGTGCCCACGGATTTAGAAAGGCCACCTGGAAAAGTAACATTTTGATTGGATTGAATATATACATAGGTTATCAACAGAGAAAGTTATTTCAGACTGAAGTAAAAACAATTTATCAAGGAACATAGTTTATTTGGGAAGTGGCCAGAATGTAATTGTAGCTATGGATGGAATGTCAGATTGGAAGGAAACTGTATAATTTTTTTTAAGACAGGGTCTTGCTCTGGTGCCCAGTCTGGAGTGCAGTGGCATGATCTTGTCTCATTGTGGCCTTGAGCTCCCAGGCTCAAGTGATCCTCCCACTTCAGCCTCCTGAGTAGCTGAAAAAACAGGCACACACCATCATGCCTGGCTAATTTTTTGTATTTTGTTTTTGTAGAGATGGGGTGTTGCTGTGTTGCCCGGGCTGGTCTTGAACTCCTGAGCTCAAGTGATCTGCCTGCCTTGGCTTCCCAAAGTGCTGGGATTACAGATGTTAACTACCATGCCAAGTGAAAATGTATAATTTTAAATATGGCATGTCAAGAATTTGGAATGTTGTCTTTAGGCAATACGAATCCAGGAAAAAAAAAAACTTAGGTGAGAATACACTGATCAGATTTAATTCTTATGTCAATAGGTAACATAATCCAATTTTGGAAGATAAGTGTTTTCAGATACACAGAAATTATTTGGATCTCTGGACAAAGGTGGCATAATTCTTCTGATAGGGCCACTTAATAAAGGTCCTAAGTGGAGCTAAAGAGGAAGCCAGGATAAACCCTTTTAGGCTTTTTGGAATACATCTTACTGTAGCTGCAAAAGGGATGGGGGCTTCTGGCCAAGCCTCTAAAGCGCCTTGCTACCTGCCTATGCATGAATCATGCTCTACTTCTAGATGAAGTATGAAAATGACATTCCTGAACTCACCATAAATAAATTAAAAACCTCAAGTCCTTTTTTCTAGTAGGGTAAGTCCTTATACACTAACCTAAATATGCTCTTTTCACTTATTCATATTGTGACAAAGTAATGCTACTTTATGAAATGACTGGTAAGGATTTAAGTTGCAGCCCAAGGCCAGGGAGCGAGGCTAATTAGGCCATGTAGGAATTGAACATTTCACTGTAGACTCTGCATTCAGTCTTAAACATGGGCAACATAATAGTATTTTTGAGGCAATATTTTTCAGTTCCTTTCACAGGATTTCCTGGTTGAGTCAGGAAAATATCAGTTTTTCCCAATGCACAGCTGGCAAGCAACAGAGTGGACAGGGACTGCATCTTTCCATAAAATTTAAGGTAGAATTATTGTATGAGATCTTGAAAATCTGATCCATTTTCAAGTCTCAACCTTGTGCAGTAAATATAAAAAATCAAGCCAAAATCTCTGCTACATACTTTCAGCGGTCTGTCACTTCCCTCTCTCCTCAGTGTCACCCCACTGGATATGACCTGTTACTTCCATGATGGATTGAGCAGCCGAAGTTCTTCAGCCTGCCTCTCTATTATGGAGACTCCCTGGTACTTGACAAAATGCATCAGTGAGGTTCTGATGACCTGGGTGGGCCTCCCTTGCTGCTTGAATGGCCATGTGCACACAAAAGCAAATGGTGTTAAAGGATATGGATGAAGCAAGTGACTTTCCCTGAACAATGGACCTGAAAAGACATGGAGAAGCTCACAGAGGGCACTGGAGACGTGTCAGCAGAACTTAGAGAAGCTGCTCAGCACACCCCAAGCACAGAGGCAAATATGAAAACAAATGGAGGATTTGCAAAGGGATGGCTGTTCACCAAGAAGAACAGTGGAAGAGAAGTGGAGTCCTAGCAGGAGGGCTGTGAATTTTGTGTAGGGTCCAGATTAGGGCAGAGGAAGCACACGTGCTCACAAATTTTCTGTATGAAAAGGGGCTTGAGCACAAGATTGAGAGAGCTGAAGTATGTAGTAGACTCTATTTTTGCCTGCCTGACATCTATTCCTCTTTTAATGGTGTTTCCTCCTGTTTTGTGTTGGTGAACCTCTGTTTTCCTATACTCAAATTACGTTGGTGAGATGAGGGTGTGGTGTCCTTCCCTCAGCTCCAGGGATTGAAATGAACCTCATGAATGGTTCAGAGAATCACATCATACCAGATATGATTTTTTTTCTAAGGTAGACACAACCCACTCCTATTAAAGACAATGAGACAATACAATCCAATTCCATTTTTGGGGTTGGGGGGTAGAATTGCTGGGAAACAAAAAACAAAACAATTTTTTTTTTCTGCTGAACTTTAAGCTCTTTTGCTATAAGTCTGTAGCTGCACAGGGCCATCATACACAGGAACTGGATTCAAAATGAAGCCACAACAGAAAGCAACTAGATCAGAAAGATGCAACATGGCCAATTACTAATACAATTGTCTGAGTTCCTGAATCCACACTTGCCTAGACTTACTAGCTAAGTTGGCTAATGAGTCATATTGTGTGTTTAAATGTGTCTGGGTTAGATTTCTGTCACTGCTAAGCAAGTGTTCTGACTTATACAAAGTATCAAAACATTGTTCTTAGGCTATACAACCCCCTTGCCCCCTAACTCACACTACAACCCATGAATTATAGCCTAAATCAAGGCTTATATACAGGTAGTTTATTCTGGGAATTAATTCCAAGGAACGGGGTGGAAAGTGAAACAAGGAAGGAGGGGAGGCAAATCAGACCATGTAATTGCCAAGTTTATCACCACTATAAGCAAATGAGGGTGGATCCCATAAGGGATTTTATGAGAAACCATGTAGAATGACCTTCAGTATTGTGCATGTGAGAAATGGAAAAGGAGAATATTCATCTATTGTTTTCTCTTCCTGTGCATCATGATTGCCCCATAAAGTTCTAAATTCTTTCCACTTCCAGACTTGCACAGACATCAGAAATGGCTGAGTAGGTTCCTGCAGGGTTCTTCTCTGCAGAGAACAGGAAGCATCTGATATATTCCATTCATCACTCTACTCAGATCCACCTGTGCACTCATTGAGTCCAATCCATTAAAATACTCTCGTATTAGTCTGTTTTCATGTTGCTGATAAAGACATACCCAAGACTGGGCAGTTTACAAAAGAAAGAGCTTTAATGGACTTACAGTTCCACATGGCTGGGGAGGCCTCACAATCATAAGGGAAGGCAAGGAAGAGCAAGTCACATCTTACGTGGGTGGCAGCAGGCAAAGAGAGAGAGCTTGTGCAGGGAAACTCCCCTTACAGTACCATCAGATCTCATGAGACTTATTCACTATCACGAGAACAGCACAGGAAAGACCTGCCCCCATGATTCAATTACCTCCCACTGGGTCCCTCCCATAACACATGGGAATTCAAGATGTGATTTGGGTGGGGACACAGACAAACCATATCATTATGCTCCTGGCCCCTCCCAAATGTCATGTCTTCACATTTCAAAACCAATCAAATCCACAGTCCAATGTCTCATCTGAGACAAGGCCTATGAGCCTGTAAAATCAAAAGCAAGTTAGTTACTTCCTAGATACCATAAGGGTACAGGCATTGGGTAAATATAACCATTCCAAATGGGAGAAATTGGCCAAAATAACGGGGCTACAGGCCCCATGCAAGTCCAAAATCCAGCAGGAGAGTCAAATCTTAAAGCTCAAAAATGACCTCCTTTTGACTCCATGTCTTACATCCAGGTCTTGCTGATGCAAGAGTTGGGTTCCCATGGTCTTGGGCAGCTCCACCCCTGTGGCTTTGCAGGTTGTAGCCCCACTCCTGGCTGCTTTCATGGGCTGGCATTGAGTGTCTGTGGCTTTTCCAGGTGCACAGTGCAAGCTGTCAGTGGATCTACCATTCTAGGGTCCAGAGGACAGTGGCCCTCTCCTCACAGCTCCACTAGGTGGTGCCTCAGTAGGGACTCTGTGTGGTGGCTCCTAGCCCACATTTCCCTTCCACACTGCCCTAGCAGAGGTTCTCCATGAGACCCCACCCCTGCAGCAAACTCCTGCCTGGGCATCCAGGCATTTCCATAAATCCTCTGAAATCTAGGTGGAGGTTCCCAAACCTCAATTCTTGACTTCTGTGTACCCGCAGGCTCAACACCATGTGGAAGTTGCCAAGGCTTGGCACACAGCAGAAGGACCCTAAGCCTGGCCCATGAAACCATTTTTTCCTCCTAAACCTCTGGGCCTGTAATGGGACAGGTTGCTTCAAAGGTCTCTTACATGCCCTGGAGACATATTCCCCATTGTCTTGGCAATTAATATTTGACTCCTCATTAATTATGCAAATTTCTTCTGCTGGCTTGAATTTCTCCTCAGAAAATGAGATTTTCTTTTCTATCACATTACCAGGCTGCAAATTTTCCAAACTTTAATGCTCTGATTCCCTTTGAAAACTGAATGCCTTTAACAGCACCCAAATCAACTCTTAGGTTGTGACAAACCATTAATTTCTTCAAAAGACCTAATACACCAGGATTAGTGAAGCAAGCTGTAGTAACTGTTGCCTCTTGAATGCACAGTTGAGGCACTGCTTGAATTGACATTCTCTGAGTGTTGGGCAATACTTTTAAACCTAAAAAGCTGGCCAGGCATGGTGGCTCATGCCTGTAATCCCAGCACTTTGGGAAGCTGAGGCAGGCGGATCACCTGAAGTCAGGAGTTTGAGACCAGCCTGGGAAAAATGGTGAAACCCCTTCTCTCCTAAATATAAAAATTAGCCAGGCATAGTGGTGCACACCTGTAATTCCAGCAACTTGGGAGGCTGAGGCACAAGAATTGCCTGAACCTGGGAGGTGGAGGTTGCAGTGATCTGAGATCGCACCACTGCACTCCAGCCTGGGTGACAGAGCAAGACTGCCTCAAAAACAAACAAAACAAAACAAAACTTAAAAAACCAATATTCATTCTATGGTGTTGTGGTCTCAATAGATAGAATATATGAGTCTGACATCTATGGGGTAAAGATAGGTGTAGGCCTGCTTTCAACACTCTTAGCAAATTACTTGGGACATTCATGCATTGTGCTTTTTTGGATACAGAGATTTTTCTTCCTGATGAGGGAATACCTTCACCATGATTAGGTTGACCAACATGTTCTATGACTATCCAGGTTTTCAACTAGCGGTCCTGCTTTCCAGAATACACCTAAACCCCAGGCAGCTGCAGGGGCACTTACTCAGTCACTTTTGCCTCTGTATGCTGGTGGCTCAGCATGCAAAGAAAAAAAGTTTTCATAGATGCAGGGGTCTTTTATGCTGATTATCAAAAGGTAGGGTGCTGCTTCATTATAAGGACATGAAAAAAGACTGTGTTTGACCATTAATATGCTGGGGCATATTAATGCCCCAGCAACTTTCTTGCTCTATTGTAACCTTAAATAGGCAAGTTCAGCAACCATAGGTTGATAAGTACATGTTACCAGGGCCTCAGGACACTCAGAAATAAGTGTCTGGGTTTCTGATAGGCATATATTTCTGGTAGAAATATAACCCAAATTGGCTTTTGCATATAAGGTAATATATTGGCCATATTAATTAATAAAATAAAAAATTGATCCATGGTTCAAATAGTTTTATTAGTAACTCAACAAGTAATTATAATTCTTTTCATATTTCTCTTCTACGTTTATTTTGTGATGGCTTTATTTCAAAGCAGGTTCACATGCATGGTGGCCCATTGCAGCTACAGGTGTACAGCAAATATGCAGCCATAAAAAATGATGAGTTCATGTCCTTTGTAGGGACATGGATGAAATTGGAAACCATCATTCTCAGTAAACTATCGCAAGAACAAAAAACCAAACACCGCATATTCTCACTCATAGGTGGGAATTGAACAATGAGATCACATGGACACAGGAAGGGGAATATCACACTCTGGGGACTGTGGTGGGGTCGGGGGAGTGGGGAGGGATAGCATTGGGAGATATACCTAATGCTAGATGACACGTTAGTGGGTGCAGCGCACCAGCATAGCACATGTATACATATGTAACTAACCTGCACAATGTGCACATGTACCCTAAAACTTAGAGTATAATAAAAAAAAAAAATTAAAAAAAAAAAAAAGTGTCAAGTTTGGAAGTGATTTTTTTTTTCTTCCACATTTCTAACAGAAGACCTAGAAATGAATCTTGACTTCTACAGTGCATTAAGGCACTGGACTTAGATTAGAGCTCTCTCAGAAAACATAACCTAAAACGAGAGTTTGTGTACAGGTAGTTTCTTTGGGCAGTAATCCCATGTAACAGGAGTAGGGGAACTGGCTTTTATTTCACAGGTTAAGATACCAACGGCAGAGTTCTGCCAAACTCTATATCCCAATTACAAATAAAGGTTCTGGGATGAGTCATTTACCTATGGAACTTAGTATGAGATTAACTTGGGTCAGTACTCCACTTAAAATCTGCCTACCAGTAGTCCACATTCTAGGTGCTACTATGCCTATTCCAGAGCACTGACTGATATCAATCCTAATTCAGACACTCTACCAATAACCATTGGTAATGATAGGCAGGCTCCTTTCTCTGGAATACAGTTTTTCTCATAAGTCACCACAGGCCCCTGTGGAAAAGTAATGGGATATTAAATATCATCCATATAAGCAGTGGTATTGCAGAGTCCTTCCTAAAGCAGACACAGCCTCCTCTTCAATCAATGAGAACTGGATTACATTTGAAACTCAGTGAGAAGTCATGATTTTTCAGCCAGCCTTCTATTCACCAGCTCTTATGTCCATCCCCTACTCAGCATTATATTCAGCTTCATTGGTCAAGCACCCTTAGGTTCATTCTGACAAGTGGTTCTCTGATTTCTTCCAGTAAATAATAGCCAAATATTGCAATATTGCAGGAGGTGGAGGAGTGTATACTACTTTCTTCTACAGTATGCATTGTATTTCTCTACTTGGATGATGCTGTAATGTGCTCATATTTACTAGTATGGATGCAAGAGGGAAGCTGAGGAATATTGAGAAAGGCAGGCATCTATTTGTTAGGTATCTGACTTAGGGGAAGTATTGACCACATCTCAAGGCCACTTCTTGTAAGGAGAAGGTTGCTGCTACTTCTGGCTGTGTGGGATTAGGGAAATATGGGTGCTATGGTTTGGATGTTTGTCCTTTCAAACCTGTTGAAACTTGATTCTGTGTGTTAGAGGAGGGTGCCTAATGGCAAGTGTTTGGGTCACTGAGAAGGATCCCTCATGAATAGATTACTGACCTCTCTTGGGAGTGAGAGAGTTCTCACTCCCTTCATTCCTACAAAAGCTGGCTGTTAAAGAGCTTGGCACCGTCCCCTCTGTCTCTCTTGCCCCCTCTCTCACCATGTGATCTCTTCACACACTGGCTCCCTTTTGCCTTTCATCATGAGTAGAAACAGCCCGACACCCTCACCAGATGAAGATGCCCAATTTTGCACTTTCTAGCACAGAATCATGAGCCAAGTAAGTGATTTTTCTTCATAAGTTACCTAGCCTCTGTATTCCTTTATAGCCACATAAAATGAACTAAAACCATAGGCATTTACTTCACTTATGCTTATCTATTCAAATATCCCCAGCTCAACACTCAAGATCTCACTTGTGTCTTCCTATAATTCTGATTGTATCCTAACAAATTTATTGAGCCTTTCCATTTACTCAACTTTGTAGCTACACTAGTTTTACAGTTAGATCCTAAGTGCAATATTTAGCACAGTCACCCTGTTGCTTCAGGAGCGAAGGATCTATTTAGATGCTTCCCTGGAGTCATTCTAGCTCCCATGTTATGCCTTCAGTGAATAGCTAGCTAGCTTTGTGTGTGTGATATTCATTTCTCATATCTTCTAAAGCTGCCAATCAACTTTATACCATTTATACTTTAATTGCTTGCATATGGTTTTAATATCAGCATTCAATATAAGCTGATGTGTCCCCTTCATCCCATCTCAATTTACTACCAGTGACAATCCTGGCGATCATGATGCTTTTATGTCAGGTGCTGTCACCATTCTACTTACCACTAGTTTTGGGAGACATCGTTGTTGAACTATGAGTAGTCCAATTTCATAACCCAGACCCAAAGCTTTGCTTTTTAGGGTACTTTCCATTTAAACACTCTGATATCTGGCTCGTCTTAAAAGAAGAGCCTGAGGTAAGGACTTGCAAGCAGTTAGTATCTTGGGGAAGTGACAGCAAGGAATTAAAGATGAGGATTTCCAAGAGTGAAAAATTGAAAGAAGGCAAGCGAATTCAAGGATGAGTTATTGAGTTTATCACAACTGTAACTTAACCCCACTATAGATCCTCTGCAGTGTCATTTAAAATAAAGATAGGAATTTTCCACCCAAGGTGCAGACAGGGGCTATTATCCCCTTGCTCTATTTCTCATTGATCATTTTTTCTCACTGGAGTGTTAAATCTCTTCTATGTCCAGATTTGTGCATGCATCAAAATGTTTGGGTGGTTTTGAACAGGTATCCAATTCAGAGTTGGCAGACATATTTTGGGGTAGAAACAAGCAACTCAGAGGAGGCACTAACAACTTATAACTACATGCAACTGGTTGCTGCAGCAATGGCTAGAATAAACAAGTGGATGGACTAGGAAATGGGAAGTTTGAGTAACAGTGATATCTCATGGAGCACATATCTCCACTCATGCATAGAGTGTGGGACAAATGTTTTTTCCTTCAGGTTCTTTGTTAACACAATCTCCAGTGCCTGTTTTGGGAGTTTACAAATGCTTACATAATTTTAGGTCAAGGAACCACTCTCTTCCTGCTGCCTGAAATTCTTCATTTCACGTTTTCACAAAATCTACAACCTTCATGGTTGTTGCCTTTTCTCTAGCCAGTGTACCTTTTTCCATTTCAACAGTTACTTATGTTAAATCTTTCATGTGCAATGATATTGAGGAGATCCAGTGATTAACCAGAGATATACCTCACCTTCACATTGCTTTGAAATCACTAGAGAGAAAACATTATCAGAACTTTCATACTGTCATATTTTTCTTACTCTTATTTCTGGCAACACATTTTGTGTCCTTGAGTTAAAGGATACTATTCCAGGGCTTCAGGAATGAAATAAAAAACAAAGCAAAAAAATTGAGACATGATTTGGCTTCTCAGAGGTTTAATTTGGTCAAACACAGACTGAAAACTTTGGGATATTAATTCAATCAGTTGGAGAAAAGTTACCAGGCATTGAAGATAAAGTCTAGACTCAAAAATTCAGGTCCTTTGGGAGAGCAGAAGTATAGAGGTGGACCTTATTCTAGGTCAGGGAACAAATGCTCTTGGGGAATTTTTTTTTAATGGCAGAAACATATCATTTTCAGAGTTGACATGGGGAGGAGTGTGGGAGGAGGGAGAGGATCAAAAAAAATGACTAACAGGTACTAGGCTTAATAGATGGGTGATGAAATAATCTGTACAACGAATGCCCATGACACAAATGTATTTATGTAGCAAACCTTCACATGTACCCCTGAACTTAAAACAAAGAAAGGGAGGTTTCAACTATTATCAATGGATTTAAAAATCCAATAGTGATTGATACTTTGTGAGACAGAAATTTGAATTTGAAATACCAGCTAAGCTAAGTTGCAGCCTCGCCTCTGCCCAGCGTCCAAGTTGAAACACATGAAAAGACAGCATGGTGGGTGTCAGAGGCCTAAGTTTTTCATGCGTTTATGGAAAGCAGCTGATTTCCAAAGCAGAAACAGTGATCCATGTTGATCCTGGATCCCCTCTGGAACAAGAATAGGGAAAGGTAGGCAAGGATGGTGAATATGTGCCAAATTAAAACAAGCAATGAATCTACCTGGACCTTATACTGAAAGGGTCTGTGAGGCCATTCCTTGGCTGAGTGCAAAATAGTTCCATGGTTGATTAGTGGTGAGTGACAGCGGAGTGAACATCAGCACAAGTGACATATAATTAACATCCCTGATAAGGGCAACATAAATGTTATCTTGGTATGGGTTCCCCTTAACGCTTATCATAAGAGAAAGCCTTATGAGAAGGTAGTTTATTTATGAATGAAATTTCACAGAGCAGGTGTAAGGGGATGGGAAAATGAAGAGGAAAAAAGTGAAGCCAATACAGGAGCAAAGTGTTGATTTGGCCATTGTTAGGTAGGCTGATCTTCAGGCACATTCTGGGGAACTTATGAGTCTCAACATTCCCTTCTCAGGGAATGAAAGGTGAAAGCATGCATTTTTAAGCCCCTGGCTCATTGGTCAAGAGTAACCTCCAACCATTGATTCACTGAACTTTTGTGTTGTGTGTTCATGAGGTCAAATAAGTTATTGTCAGTATCCCAGGCCACAACTGCATTAAGCAAGTGGTAAGAGGCCCAGGGCCTGGGGAAGAACTCGAACAAATCTGCACAAAGTCTTGTTGAACTGGGGACCACAACTATGACTGAAATCAGATAAAGGGCTGGGAAGAAAAAGTAGTGCACAGGAGGTTCTTGATACGTATATTCTGGCATCACTCTTTCTCTTCTTATTTTTTGCAACAAGCCTATGCTGACTCTATGAATAAAACTTGACCAAATCTTACCAGTTTAAGGGAGTATGCACACAAACAGTAACATTCACAAGCATAATATTGCTTGGGATTTGCCCAAGTCCGGATTTCATATTTGAGTAGTAAATCATGCCATTCAAGCTTAGGACACAACTGCTAAAAGGCAACAGTGTCAGTGAAATAAAATGAACAGTGCTGCATGCTAACAAAATGAGGGAAATCCCTTATTCTCTATTTTTAAAAAGATACTAGCCTGACCCATATTTATTATTTTTTCTGAAAAAATTTGTTTTCCCAGAAGCTTTTGAAAAGCACTCCAACAGTAATGTAGCAGAAAAATGATAGATGTTGAGAAATTAAAGTGCTCTGGGTTATAAACTTGTACGTCTTTGTTTCCCATGCTCTTTTGATGAGCTTGCAAAGTTTTAGAACTCTTTAATTTAAGATGAAGTGGTTTTATTTCTCTCAGATACAGTGGAAATAGTTTCCTTATCTATCATTAGAATGGTTTAATACTTTCATTAATCCACACATCATAAAGCATAAGGGGAGTTTTATACCGACTCCAATCAGTCATTGTGCCTGCTTCAGAATGGAAAACGGTTGTTTTCTGCTGATTCTAAGACAGACTTAAGGCTAGTATCTTCATGAGCCATCACAATTAGAAAAGCAAGATGAAGACATAAAAATGCTGTTATCATCTCCTCTCCCTTGGCATAATTTGGATTATTGCTATAAGCTGCAGAATATTTGCAAATATATCAGGGATCCTTGAATTTGTGGCAAGACATAAATATGGGATATCGAGAGGCACCAGGGCTGCCTCTGGGGCGTGGAGGATTGGTTTCCTGATACCATCTAGAGAAAACCTTTGAGACTGAGCATCTCATCCTCCTGTTCCATGGCCAAGAAGGTAGGTCAGGTTTGAAACTAGGCAGCTATGTCATGGTACAGGAGTTTCAGCCACTGTTCCTGCACAAACTCCACTGATGTTCTTATTTCACTGGTCTACTGAAAATAATATATTCGGAATACCTTTCCTCTTCTGACATAGAGCACTTGGTTTTCTATCCAAAATGGGCTAGAAGGAGGAAACAGGCATCTATAATATATATTAGTAAAATTTTCAGTCCTCAGTGATATGGATTCCAATGAAGGTAATCACCAATTACCTTAGGTGATTATTTACTCTGGTGTAATTGAAAGGAGAGAGTGTGCTAAGAAGAAGACGACACTGAAGAGCCGGCAGACTAGTCAGAATTCACAGCAGCAAGACTCTGAATACTAAAACACAGACTGTCCTCATGCAATTCCTAGTGCACGAATCCCAGCCTTACTGCACAATTATAAATGGCGTACCCTAGGCATCCTAATAAATGGTATGGGTCCTAGCACTGAGGAACAAAAATGGAGAACTTAGAAAAAAGCACAAAGAATAAAGGGTCAAAGGAAAGAAGAAAATATAGGTCAGGGATGGCAAACGTACAGCCCTCCCCTGTCCCACACACGGCAAAAAGCATGTATCCTTATCCCAAACTCCAAAGACACTAAGTCCTAATCCTGGAGAAATAAAGGCTATCTAGAGAAGAGGAATTATATAAATGACCAAGAAAATGTCCTTCCCTCCATTTGTAGAACGTTCTTGGTTTAAAAGACCATTTGTAATCTTACATATGTGCTGCCTCAAGTGCTTGCATCTTCATGCTTTAATAATATCTTAGTTACATATGATGTTTTAAATTTTCGAGGTATTTTCACATAAATTACTGGCTTAATTTTTTACAACCATCCTGTAAAGTAAGGCAGGTATGATTGATTGTTCTGATTCAAAGAGTTAAAATAAGTGAGGCTCAAAGAAGTTAAGTGACCTTTCAATTTTACATTTTTTTAGAAACTGGAGGAGCGACGATCAAAGCACTTGGCTTCCCTGTATCATCTGTATTGAAGTAATTGTCCAAGATTGATTTAAAGAGAAAAAATATGTCTGTGGCTAAAAGCAAGTTGGAAATCATTAAAGTAAACATTTTTAAAAGTGCTTTCCAGAGAGGAACAAGAGAGATACTTCCCAGGTTTCCTGAAGTCTTAGTTGTGACCTATTTGGATTTGAAAGCAGCCTTAGGTAATCTAACAATTTTGTCCCCAGTCAGAACATTATGTAATAGTGTACCACGGGTGAAAAGAATACTTCTGTTTTTTCAAGACAATAGTTTTATTCACTGAGACCTGAATTACTCTTTTAGCTGACATACGTGGAATGGCTACAAGTGCTATTCTGCACCAAAAAAATACCTGGCCTCGTCAAAACTATGAAACAAGTTCCACACAATCATTGCCTGCAGGTATGCATTTTGTATTGCTGAAATACGCTAATCCATTTGTGTATACACTGTTGGCTTCTAGTTTCAGGAAGTAACTAGGGTAAAAATTTTTGAGTTACTTTCTGTTCTCAAATCCACAATTGACTCCTGAAATTGTGTGCTCAATTTCTTGGTAGAATGAAATAATACTACATATTTTCTTTACAGGAGGAAAATGAATTCAGTAGAAAAAAATAAATCTAATGGGGATATATCATTCAGTGAAGTCTTCCTCTGATGAAGAACTTAAGGTTCCCCTAACTTATCACTGTAAGAAAAGAGTTATGGTAAGACACACTTTTTCCATGTTAGTCTTGAAGCATAACCATTAGTACCTATTTACAGATCATCTGTTGAGTGTATACTGTGCTAGGTTGTCTGTTTTTCTTTATCTGCCAAGATATTTGGAACAACTTGTGGTGCAGGGACTCTAAGTGGCTCAAGTGATTCCTTTCACTAGAGGAATATTTTGAGAAATTATATTATATTTTGGCTTTATTGATCTAATGCAGGCAAGGTTACTTTGTCTCCAGGTGACAAAATAAATTTGGAATCTCTACAGTATTATGAAAGAAGCCCTGAGCATAGATTAGGGAGACTGGAGGTAAAAGGTGGAACTAGGAAAGAAGAACGGAGAGGCAGACCTACAGTTAGGAAGGAAGCTGAAAGAAAACGAAAACCACTGAATTTATAATGGAGAATTTTAAAATAGGGTGGTAGGGTATTCCTTGGATTTACCTATCCCTAAAGTTATACACTAACTAAAAATTGTTGGATTGTTCACCAGGCATTCAAGAACTAATGCCAGATGGAGGGGATGCCAGGCTGTGTGCACACATAAACACACTTTTTTTTTTTCAATGAGCTGCAGAATTTAATCCAAATGTTGTAACTTGACATGCATGGCCACTCACCATCAGCCTTGTCACCTGCCATTTTTCCATTTTTCTCCCTATGTTCCAACCAGAAAAGGCCTCATGGGAAACTAGCTGTCCAGGACACTAATCTATAAAGAGCACTAAAATAAGGCTTAAGTTGTTATTAAAAAAAAAAAAACTATTTTACTAACAGCAGCTCATTTCAGAATAATTTTACATTGGTTCCAAGTAATATTTTGCTGGGCTGCTTTGAGTCTATGCTGAAACATCCAAAATGCAAGCCTGAATTTCATCCTCTGGCCACTATAATTCCATCTATGATGAGCGTAACCAAGGAATGAAGTTTGGCTAGAGGTGAATTCAGGGTAGAGGCGTACTTTTCACTATAAGTTAAACCAAGCAGCTGCTTAACAATCCCCCTCCTTGACCTTTATCCCAATTAACAATAAGCCAGAACTTTTAAAATAAATCAATATGCCTGTGTGTGTGTGTGTTTGTATGTGTGTGTATTTATATTAATATCAATTTATTCATAATTGTCTAAAGGGTCAACTGGCTATTAACCTGTTCATGTCCCTACCTGCATTTATTGGGCCCTAGTCCAATTACACTGAAGCCCCCACCCCCATCTCCCCCACATTCCTTCAACATTCTGGGTACTTCGTTGTCCTTGTCCATCCTCCTCCATGAGAATAGAACACATTTAAAGTTCCCACCGCTCCCACTTGGGTCATAGCCAATAATATCATTTTTCTACTCAGTGACTCTGCATAAAACACACCAGCTTTTCCTGTTGGCTCCATTTGCTTCTTCCCCTGGAATCTCATTGCACTTGGTTCAGATCTCAGTTTTATCATTTATCAGGCTAATTGCAAAGACTCTTTTCTGTAATAGGCTTTGAGTTCCCCATGGACAAGGGGAACATCTTATCAGTTTTTGTAACCCTGGTGCCTAACCCAGAACCTAGCACTGGAGAGGTGGTCTATAAGTGTCTGTTAAATTAATTCTTAAATTCTCTAATTTGGGTGGTAGTCCTGAATGAGTAGCTAACCAACTGTTTAACCTTGGAGAAGCATCTCAATTTCTGTGATGTGATGCTTCAGAAAAATAATAAAACTATCAATGTCACACTTACTTTGAAACATTTTTTTTTCTAAAATCAAAGAAACATGCTTTTTAGAAGGTAAGAAAGCACTCTGCAACTTCTATACTGATACTGACACACAGCAACATAGAATAAGATTGATCAACGTCAGATCAAGGTCCAGGCTGGTACGGAGCACATTACTGTAAAAGTTCAAGGTTTAATTATAGGCCCTGTCTTCTGACTAAAGTAAATATGAAGTTAATAAACACCACAATTTGAAATCTCAGTTCTTCCAAGGACATCTCCAAAGGGTGGCATTCATTGTCAGCAAGTGTGTGATGCTCAAAGGGCCTAGCAATTGTTCTGTGCCTGAGCATTTCTTGAGACACTCTGGAAAGTGGGAAATAAATCTTGGTATGGACGTTGAAATTAAGGCTTAATATGGCAAAACCTGCTAAGAGGAATATAAAGAGAAATGTCAGCAAGGAAGGTGTTTCCATACCCTCTTTTGAAATGTTATATAAAGTGAATTCCACTCAAAAAGTAATAGTTTCAACCGAAATGTCTAGGCTTATTTATTATTACATTCTCTACTTCAATTATAAAAAAGAAATGAATTTAAAAATCACACTTGTTTCACTTAAATTATTATAATCATTGTCCACTGATGGTGAATATATGTTGTTTAGTTTGTCCTGAATTACAGATCAATTTATTTTAAAGGTCAAATTATGGTGTGACAAATTACTCCAAAACTTAGTTGCTTAAAATAGCCACTTTATTATGCTTGTGGATTCTGCAAGTTGGAAATTTTGCTATTATTCAGCGGGGTGCTTACGTCCTTTTCATAATGTCTGGGTCTCAAAGTTGTGGGTGACTCAATGGCTGGAGGTTAAAATCTTTGAAGGGATAATTCATTGGTGCATTTGGCACCTGGATGAAATGACTGAAAGATTAAAACTGCTAGTCCTAAAGTGTACATGTGATGAGTCCATGTGGCTTGGCCTCTCTTCAAAGCATGCATGTTTCAGCGTAGTTAGACTTTTTATGTGGCAGCTTAAGGCTCCAAAGACAAGTGTTCCAGCAAATCAAGTAGAAGTTGCAATTGGCCTAGGAACCACGCAGTGTCTCTTCTGTTTCATTGTACTGATTACATGCAAGTCATCTGCCCATGTAGATTCAAAGAAGAGTGATCATATTGGTGAATGTAATGTCAAAAATCCATAGGCCAAGCACAGGGGCTCAGGCCTGTAATCCCAGCACTTTGGAAGTCCAAGGCTGGAAGATTACCTGAGGCCAGGAGTTTGAGACCAGCCTGGGTAACATAGAGAAGTCCTGTCTCTATAAAAAATAAGAAAAAAAAAAAATTAGCCAGGTGTGGTGTCATGTACCCGTGGTCCCCGCCAATCAGGAGAATGAGGTAGAAGGCTTGAGCTCAGGAGGCTGTGACTAGAGTGAGCTGTAATTTTTCCACTGCACTCCAGCCTAGGAGACAGAACTCGATTCTGTCTCAAGAGAAAAAAAAAAATCACAATTATTAAAAAAAAATTAAACTGCAACCATTCATCTTCTGAGAACAAACTTTATATCTCTCCCATATCTAAAATACTCTCAACTGTTTTGGAGACACCTACCTTCCCTCCACCCACACTGAATCTCATTCATTTTATTGCCAGGTTCAAGGTCCAGCATATCAACATTTAAGTTAGTTCCCGTGTGTATGATACTCCTTGTGTGTGCTCCTCTACTGTGATTCCTCTAGATCTGACGAAGCATGCTCTATAAAAAGCAAGTAATTTACCCCATGGATAACAACATATAATGTCAAAACAGACGTAGAATATCTGCTACAAAAGCTTTCATTCAAAAATTGGGCAAAAGGGAGGCAGCCAGCAGTCACTGGGTAAAATCACCTGAAATTCAGCTGGACACCTGTGGGTAGTTTTGTGATTAGGGCTCACTCTCACTTCTTGGGTATTATTCTCCATGACTTTTGGTTCTACCTTCTAAGTCATCTTTCATAAGAAATAGTCTGTAGTTGTAACAGAGTGCAGTCGTCACCCCTTCCTCCACATATCCATTTTCTGTGATTTCCATTACTCCCGATCAACTGTAGTCTGAAAATACTAAATGGAAAATTCCAGAAAGAAACAATTCATAAATCTTAAACTGCATGACCTCCTTAGTAGCATAATGAAATCTCATGCCATCCTGCTTCATTCTTCCCTATCCCTCCTGGGTGTGAATCATCCCTTTGTCCAGCCTGTGCATGCTATCTACACTACCTGACTGTTATTCTCTTAGTAGACATCTCAGCTGTCTTATTGGCAAGTAACCCTTATTTTACTTAATAATAATTCCAAAGCACTAGAGAAGTGATACTGGCAATTTGGATATGCCAAAGAGAAGCTGTAAAGTACTTCCTTTAAGTAAAACAATGAAAGTTCTTGACTTAATAAGGAAAAGCAAAAAGTTGTATGCTGAGGTTGCCAAGGACTACAGTAAGAATGAAACTTCTATCCATAAAATTGTGAAGAAGGAAAGAAATGTGTTCTAATTTAGCTGTTTCACCTCAAACCGCAAAAGTTACAGCTAGAGTGTGTAATATATGCTTGGTTAAGATGGAAAAGGCATTAAATTTGTGGGTGGAAGACATGAACTGAAATGTGTTCCAATAGACAGCAACCGGGATCAGTACTACACATGGTTTCAGGCATCCACTGGGGGGTCTTGGAAAGAATTCCACATCTATAAAGGAGGACTACTGTGGCCAGCTCATCTGATTTCTGCCCACGGAAAGTTGGGAACTCAAAAGCCTCTCTTCATTTTGTATAGTGTTCCTGTTTGTCAAAACTGGGACTTAAAAGAAAAAACAACTATAATATTACAATACAATTTTTGGTATTGTAATACAAACCATTACAATACAATTTTTAAATGATTACGAATTTCCTGTTTATCATTTTATAATCCACTCAATTAAGCCAAAGCCAAACCTACAACTCTCTTAGAAATAATCCCTTCTTGACCTTAAACACCCTATGAGTTTTCTGTGGAAAAATGCTCTTAAGGTTCTTAGAAGCCCTATTGTTTAACAGAGGACTCTTAGAAACACGCCTGAGAATCTTTGGGTGCCTTTTATGTGCCTGAAGTGTCTATAAAGCACTGACTTAGCTCTGAGGTCTCAACAAAGGATCTTACAATTGAGGTCTGTACTTGATCTTTGCCCTGAGGCTGCTTATTACTTCGAGAACCTTCTACTGATTGAACAGACTTTTCTGAGCATTTAACATTTCTTCCAGTTTCCGTTAGACAGACAACCGATTGGTTCATTCTTTAGCTCATAACTCTCCTCTTCTAACTTTACTATACGCAGCTTGAAGAAGGCAGGTGGCACCTTCAACACTTTCTTTAACTAGATTATCAAGTTCATTCAATATATTTTCTATTTTATGAGAGGTGACAGTTTTGCTGAACTTTCAGCCACTACATATCAAGATTCTTCTTTCTTCTAACTTCAAGTAAGAGTTTGCTCGTTATCCTTTCAGACTTCACCTACAGTCTTCTTGAGTCTCTTCCAGCTTTCACCTGCCATCTTGTCTCAATGCCAGTGTCACAATTTAAATCCTTTTTTTATTGCATAATGAAAATTTCCAATCCCCCTTGCATGTGATTTAAGCTGGGAAAATAAGATCCTTGTTCAGGCCAAGACTATTTCTTAAACCTTTGCAAAACAGAGTCTTCACTTTTGGAGGGCTAACCTATGTAGAGAATTTTAGGCCTAGAATTAGTGGAGACCATTTTGCCACCACTTTTTTAACAGAGCGCAGACTTGGCTCCTTGACACTTGCAAAGCCAATAAAAAGTGCAGTGAAAGGAAGGTGACTTTACTTCCAGAGTTAGCAGTGGGCAAGCAGCCAGCTTATGCTTCCAGAAACCCCTTCAAACTTTAGGTTGGGAAGAGGAGTTTTTAAAAAAGGAACTTGGAATGGAAGGCATGCAGGAGGGATGTTGAGTATAAGTTCTGTGTATCTTGTTCTCGTGGCTATCTCAAGCCACGGTCCCCCTGGAGTGCAGGCTGGTATCATCTCAGCAATGGCTGGGTTGTAGACTGGCTACCCTGAGGTAATCTCTGGAATTTTGCAAATGAGGTAATCTCTAGAATTTTGCAAACGTGCATGAGATAAAGGAGTACACAGTGGGAAAGGAAGGGAGGGGAGTTTTAAAGTATCTTTCAAGGCTATATTTTAAGACTAAGGAAAAAGGTTTCTACTGTTTGTTTTAATGTTACATCTTGAGAGAGAAGAAAGGAGACAAGAAAAAATGTTTTAAAATATATTTTGAAGCTAAATTACTAAGTTACACATTTTGACTTCAGTAATTAAATTAATATGGAGAAAAGAAAGCTGAAAGATGGAAAGAGAGAGATATTACTGATGAACTTGTTTCTAGCTTTGCCTAATGTCAGAAAAGCCATCTGGACTTTTCAATGTCATGAGACAATAAATCTCCTTTTTTGTTTAAATAATTTTTACTTAAGTTTTTTCATAATATATCTCTGAAAATACATATTCAACCCTCCACCAACAGCTCTGCTCATTCTGCCCCATCTACATGGAAGGAAGCCTCCTTCCTCTCTGCATAGGTTAGTACCACCTGTCACTCAACCTTTGGTCAAGGCCCACCTCTGCTGAGAAATCTCTCTCAGCCCAGCAGATAGTAATGACCTTTTTCTCTGACTACTCACTGCACTAGAGATCTAGGACTCAGGTGCTTTAAGCTGTATCACATGGCATTCCAAGTTGTCCTTTTATAGTTTGTCCTTCGGAGATAAAACTAAACTTGGTTAAAAGTCCCAATTGCACTGCCCTTGAAAGTCTATAGCCTCTGCAATGACCTCTACCAAGTTAGGAGATCTACTTTCTCTTGGCCCCCCAGCCTCCATGTTTGACACTACACATGACTTTTATGTTTATTTCCACTTTGGATTTGGACATTTAAATTCCTGAACTACTTTTTCATAAATATTTCACTGATGTCAAGCATTGATGGGTTCTGCAACTGAACATTTGTGTATCATTGGGAGAGAGTGCAATCCATAATGCAGTTTTCCACCATCTTATTCATTTCCCCACTACTTTTTTAGCTTCCTCCAACTCCTGTATTCTCAGTCTCCACCCCCACATTCTAAGAGCAAAATAAATCCTTCTTATTTTACCATACAGATTGGTTTGGTGGATATAATTTTTTACTTAGTAATATACTATCCCAAGGGGTTTGTCCAAGTATTTCTTTTAAAAATGTATAGTAAAACCTAAGAGAAACCTCAGTAAATACAATGATCTCCACCTCACTACAACTTACACATACGTTGGTTTTCTAACTAGGCTTTGGTAACTGTGGCATAATTTACAAAGGAGAACAGCTTTAAGTTTAGATAGGTTTGAGTGGGAATCCTGACTCCACTGCTTTCTTGAAAGTCACTTACCCTCTAAGGACATTAATTCTTTCATGTATTAAATTGAGATCATGATAGTTACTTCAAAGATGAACCAAGGTGTATAATGTGCCCTGGGAAGCTCCATAGATGTTCGACGTCCAGCTCTGCCTTCTGCGTTCAGCACTTGTCACGTTGCCTGGCATGAGCAAGGTGCTCAGTAGACAACTGATGATGTAACCATGGCAGTGCCCTGAGATTGCAGCATAGTACTATACTCCAGATGCAACTGGGCTTTACACACTGTGGTTCTGACTGGCTTTTGAAGAAAGTCCACTCCTTTTAGCCACTGGGAGCCTCCTTCCTGGCATGGGTTATACCTATATATTTTTTTCAGTGTACTAAATTTCCAGCCTTTGCTCAAAATTGTGATTCAGAAATGTGAATAAAACATCAAAAACAAAACAAAACAAAACAAAACAATAGATTTTGTGGGAAAAAACTTAAAAAAGTAAAGAAAAGCCACTTTCTTCTGGGAAAACCATAGGTTCTGTTGACAAATGTGTGTGTGTTTGTGCGTGTGTGTTTGTGTGTGTATTAGTCTGTTTGGGTCACCATAACAAATAAATAAATAAACTGGGTGGCTTATAAACCAAAGACATTATTTCTCACAGTTCTGGAGGATGGAAATAACTCAAAGCAATGGCAGATTGAGTGACTGGTAAGGGCCCACCTCCTGGCTCATAGATAGCTGGACTTCTTCTCACAGTGTCCTCATATGGCTAAAGGGGTGAGGGAGGTCTCTGGGGTCTCTTTAAGAGGGATCCTAGTCCCACAGGGCTCTATTGTCGTGACCTAATCACCTTCCAAATGCCCTGCCTCCACTCCACACACCCTTACATTAGAGATTACATTTCAACCACCGAATTTAAGGGGAACACAAATATTCAGGCTTTAGCAACACACACACACACACACACACACACACACACACACACACATTTATATGGACACATTGAAGAATCACCACCTAGAGTAATGCCTAGTAAAATTCCTAATGATGCAAAACAAAAATCTTACAATGAATGCTTGTAAGAGAGACACCCCATCCTTATTGTCTGCTACATCTTTGGATGAATCACATTTAAGCTTGCTCCAAAAATTTGAACGTTCTTTTTAAAGGTCATTATATTTAGCTAATGAAGATGGCAACATTGACTGTCAGAGGCATGGCTGGTAGTCTCCAGGAGTATAATACCACTGCATGTGTGGAACTAATGATATCTCCATTTTTGGTTCAAGATATTGCAAAGAATAATTTAGTTTTGCTTCAATTAAAAAGAACAGTCTCGAAAGCTGTAGAACCCATGCCCCATATGAGATCTGGTAATACTAAAGGAAAGGAAAACCCTTTAATCGGCATCAACTCTTCTTTGATAAAAATAACAGAATCAATTAAAATGTATGCCAACCTCTCCTTGAAATGCTAAAACCCAAATAGAAAGTCTTATTGTAGTTTATCAAGATAAGGAATTCAAACATACTACAAAACAATGAAAATGTAACTCAGAGAGAGAGAGAAAAACACTAAATCACACCAAAAGCATCAAACTGCGAATGTGTTTCCTTTCATGATTGTCAATCAGTAATCATCTCTTTCGAAAGCAAGGCACAATAGATAATTAAAAAAGAGAATGGACACAATATCTGCCTCTGAGCTATCAACATCTCACTGATAAAACAAGACTTAGGGGTCATTTACCGTGGCTGCTATTCCTGTGACTATTTTTGCCTGCACTAAGTTTTTGTGAACTTCAATGGCGAGTTTTGGCTTCCTTTATTTATGCATTTATTCTTTTTGTCTGTAAATATTCAACTGAGTGAGGTACTTAAGAGTCCTGAGCCTAAGCCATCTGAAAATATTTTGTATTATCTGAAATCATTTTGCTGTCATTTTTTCCTCTTATTCACCTATTCATTTATTATCAAAATAGCTACTAAATTGCCCATTATGTCTACAGTTCTATAGTATTAGACATATAACATTGATAGACACACATATTTGCCCTCAAATGCATTCTAGTCTAGAAATAGAAAGATAATTAAATAGGCAATTTCCCTATAGTGAATTAAATGTTTTGAGGGGTTAAGAATGAGATTTTTCAGGGTAACCCTTCCTGGTCAGAAATGTCATTGTGGTAGCTTTGTGTCACCTTGGATATGTGTAAGGTGTCAACTATGGTTCCCAGAGATCCTTTTCCAGTTATGGGGAGCTACAAAAGACATTACTGTGTGAGATTTGGAGAATAGGAGGGGAGCAGTAGTCACTGAGCAGCTTCTGCACATTGTGAGGGACCTGCTGATATACCTCATTGGTGAGAGACAGCTGCTAGATCTGCAACTGCTCCACCTTTTCTGGATCCTCTTGTAACTTTTCTGACCTCTGGGCCAGATGTGCATGTTTTGCTCCACAGCAAAGGGGCCCAGCTTCTGCAGGATACCTACACCCCTAAGATCAGAAGCAACAAGAACTGACACATGTTTTTTTACTTTATTCTCCTGGGGCTCCAAATTGTGCCTGTGGGTTCCAATTTATTCTTATTCTCCCCCACCCCCTCGACATGTATAATCTCTTCTCAACTTCCTGACTCATGGACTTCAAATTCTAGCATCACAATGCAAAGGCCATATTCTTATAGAAATTGCTTTACCAGTTTCCACAATTGAGTGTGGTCCAATGTCTATTAAAGGCAACTTTATACACACACACACACACACACACACATATATATTTCTTATTGGTTCTGCTTCTCTGATTGCGTGCTTACTGATGCAGTCATTTAGTTAACAAAGATTTGCAGATGCAGGTCCCCATGGGGATCTGCAGGAGGATCTTAATAAGATTACCTGTCTTCTCTCAAGAGTGTTGTATTGTAAAACTAAATAAGGATCTATCTATCTATCCACCTTCTAATTATCTATCCATCTATATGTCATCTAAAACAGTACCTTAGCACATAGTGAGTGTCACGTAATATAATTACTTATCTCTGGCTCTCTTTAGGCCTAATCTGGGTTCAAGACTCATTCTAGGTCAGCGGCCATGAGTAACCAGCCCCTTTCTAGGATTATTTTTCCATCGCCTTTTCTAGAGTATCTTGAACATTTTTCTCAAGAGACATGATAGAGAGAAGGGCCTGATCTTTCTGTAAGAAATATCCCGATGGAAGATTTCTCCCCTGTGGAATGCTGATCTCATCTCTGCTCAGCATACTGTTGAAGGAATCAATAGGTTTTGTTCTTAAGATGATATATGTTCAGAAATCTGACACTTCATTTTTGTCACTCATATACCAGAAATAACCCCCTCCCTCTTGCCTGGCAGATTCCCCAGTCTTTCAAAATGAAGGCTTTGAAAGTGAGGATTTGCCATGAATATGAAAATTATAAAGTTGGCATTTTATCTCAGCAGATCATTTATCCTACAAAGTACTGTGTGTAAATTAGAATTTCTTTTCTTCTCCATCTCACACCCCCACTTTTTTATACTTAATTAAATTTATCTTTGTCTGACTTAACCTTCAGAAGTTTGGGTCTCCATGCTCTTCATCAAGTGCCTTCCTGAAAGCTTCTGTTTTGGGCAAACTATGTTACATGGATTCTTCTAGTAATGTGCCTGGAAATGGAAGCTGAGCAATTTGCAATCACCTCATGTGTTCCAGTACTAAAAAAGCCTCTATATAATTGCAATGCAATTGAATATGTTTAAAAAACTAATACAAGTAGAATGGTTAAAGACCTCAACTAAGAACATTTTGGATGAATTTATAAAATACGCCTTTACTTTAGAAATTAATGCACTTTGTTTAGCTCATGAGAAGATGAATTTTCTTAAGCTATGATTAAGAATACATTTAAATTAAAATGCACTCATAAGATAGAACATGAGAACTTAAAAGTCTCATCCAACTTAAAACATTCAATGGAAGTAATTTCTTTTGTCTACTTAAACATAGTTTATGGCATCTATATTGTGCTAGAGGGACAATAACAAAGTTTGTAACTCAATGAGAACACCAAAATTGATTTAAGTTTTTTTTTTCTTCAGAGCATATCTTTATTTCAATCACCATGAGAAAGTAAAGGCTTAAAATTCTAATTTAATTTTTAAATAACATTCAAAAAGTTGTCTTCTTCTCTAAGAAAACTTCCTAGTGATTTATAATAGTGTAACATATTTTTTCTTCGGAAAGCTGAAGTAACTTGTGCAGTTTATCTTGGAGTTGTAATGGTGGAGGAAGATTTCAAGTGAAAGCTAATGAAAAAGATTAAATTATCTAGGAAGCTAAAGTTGTAGTCTATTATAATTATTATCAACATAGTGTGCTATTTAAGACACCTGAAATCTTTTGATTAATTAGCATAGCTTAGGAAAAGCTAATAACTTTACAGCTCTTCACGCCTATTGCCATGTGTATAATTTGATGTTAAACTATAAAATATTGACAACCGGATTCCAAAAATAATAGAGAAATGAGAATTAGAATTGTCAGAGTTCTTCCTAGAGCCTATAGCTCTTGAGTCCAACTCTGGTGACTATGGATTTGAATGGGCATAAGGGAAAAGGGAAGGGGGCTTGAAAAAATATATAAAGCTTGAACTGAGCATGGTATGTGGTGGAAGGGGGTGAGGTATGAGTTTAGAAACCATCATGACCTGGCCACAATAGACACTGGAAACTACTAGAGGGAGGAGGGAAGGAGTAGGTAAGGATTGAAAAACTGTTAGATACTATGCTCAGTACCTGAATGACAGGATCATTTCTACCTTAAGCCTCAGCATTATGCAATATAATCAGGTAACAAACCTGCACATGTACCCTCTGAATCTAAAATAAACGTTGAAAAAGAAAAAAAAAAGGAAAGAATCCATTGTGACTACACAAAACAGCATCTCTGAAGCCTCAAAGAATCTAGAATTACTGTGAATAAATAGATATTTTTTTTCCAATGAACTTAATGAGAATAAGTGCCTTTACCATACCTTGCAATTTCTGAAAACTAAATGACACTAATTTTCAGACTGAAATAGTTTGCTATTAGCTCAGCACAATAAATGAAAATAGATCCAAAGCTAGGGGCATATCTGTGGAATTTCAGAATTCCAAATACAAAGAGAATTCCCTAAAAGGTTCCACAGTGGCTAAAAATGTATGGCGTTCAGAATGTCATCAGACATCTCAACAGAAGCCTCAGGTGCCAAAGACAGCAAAACCGTAACTTCAATAGCATTATGAGGAAAAATCATAAATATATTATTTAGAAGTGCCAAGTAAATATATCTAAATCATTAAATAGGAGTTTCTCCCAGGGAGCAGATTTGGAGATCATAAAATATTAGAGCAGAAATTTCTGTGTTTTGTTCATTTTTATATTTGATTTTATTTATTTATTTATTTTTGAGACAGGGTCTTACTCTGTTTCCCAGGTTGAAGTGCAATGGCCTGATCATGGCTCACTGCAGCCTTGACCTCCAGAGCTCAAGTGATTCTTCAATCCTCAGCCTCCTGATTAGCTAGGACTACAGGTGTGTGCCACCACACCTGGCTAATTTTTCATGTTTTTTGTAGAGATGGGATTTTGCCAAGTTGCCTAGGCTGGTCTAGGACTCCTGAGCTCAAGCAATATGCCCATCTTGGCCTCCCAAAGTGTTGGGATTGCAGGTGTGAGCCGCTATGCCTGGCCTATATTTGAGTGTTAACTTTAAAATTAAAAAACATTTAAAAACATAAATTGAAAATGGGGAACGTTAAGAGTTCTATGATCAGTGAGAGCTTCCAAAAAGGTATGAATGATCCTCTGCTCTGAACTAGATCAAATGATCTCCCAAAGCCTAAAAATATTATAATATAAAGAACAGTTAAGGTTTGCTAAAAATTATCACAAAATGACTTGATTTGTTGTCCCATCCAAACAAATGTGCCAATGGGAGGAATTCTTTTTACCAAATTGGAATGCTTTAGTTGGCGCCAGCCAGGTCGATAGGAAGATATTCAGCAAAATTAGTACAAAAATATATCCTTATTCAAACTAAGATTTTTAGAATGTCTTCACTGAACTTTCTACTGTATTTGGAGTTCTTTCCCAGGTATTCTTATGCTTGCGCTGTGTACTAGAGGCTCAGAACACGTCCAATCCAAACCTCCTTGGTAATCACGGTTCCTCAGACCCTCCTGAGGCAAAACTGGCCTTTCTTGGGTTTACTTTTCTGGATATTTCAATCACTTTTGTGCCATTGTCCCTGCTGGATGAATCTTTGGTCCACTGTAGGAACTGAGACTTAATAAATAATATTAGATACATTTAAATTGTTCATTATGGAAAGGAACACATTTTATTAGTAGATAACTACTTGTAAATAACCTAGAAAGTTGGATTGACAGTAAACTCAAATATGAGTTTTCAGTGTAATATGGTCTTCAAAACTGTTGATGGGATCTTTTTTTAATTTTTTTTTTTTATTTTTGAGACAGAGTCTTGCTCTGTCACCCAGGCTAGAGTGCAGTGGCACAATCTCTGGTCACTGCAGCCTCTGCCTCCCATGTTCAAGCAATTCTCCTGCCTCAGCCCCCTGAGAAGCTGGGACTACAGGTACCCACCACTACACCAGGCTAATTTTTGTATTTTTAGTAGAGACGGGGTTTCACCATGTTGGTCAGGCTGGTCTCGAACTCCTGACCTCGTGATCTGCCTACCTAGGCCTCCCAAAGTGCTGGGATTACAGGCGTGAGCCACTGCACCCAGCTGATGGGATCTTACCAAATAGTTATAGCATTTTCTGTCCTCTTTCTTGTTGCTATTCATATTACAGCTAAAGTTCGAACTTTAGAGGCAACCATTTAGTAGACTGAGATATACAGTAGTAGACTTAGAGTAGAGAGACTGGCATGTCTCCACTCCACCCAGAGGAGGGACACTGCAGGGCGTGAAGGCTGCCTTACCTGGAGATGAAGCTTTGGTGGAACATGAAGACTGGGTTTTAATACCTGAAAAAGCTGCCCTTCAGGGAAAGAATGAGACCAATCTTGCTGCTGTTGTTGTTGTTATTTTGTTGTGTAAAGAAGTAGAACTAGCACAAGTTGATAGAGTTTCCTCATAAAGAAGAGATACTCTCTGATTTAAAATGTTTGCATAAGAAGATTGTGATCTCTCTATCCCTGGAGATCCTTAAACAGAACCAATATTTTCCAAGATCAAGACTGGTTCTGAGTGTTTTATAATTTTGTAGAATTACTCAAATGTGAGAACAGACAAACAAGTATTAGAAGGTGAAATGAGGTCAATTATAAGAACCTTTGAATTGTATTACTCACCCTTGTACACTCTCTACCACAAATATCAACTCCTCAGCAGAATATCTTATACTGAGTCAAATTGGGTACTTGCCTTACTGAGAAGTGTCCATGGACAGTGAACTATCTCTAGGACAGAGGTGGCAAATACATGCCCTCTACGCTTCCTTTCACCCGTCATTAAAGACTCAGAATTCTCTTCTGTTGTCAGGGTGCAACCTCAGAATCCTCCTGAAAACAATACCCCGTCACTGTAAATTGGAGTGGCATGCCAGATGCAACCTGCTTGCCATCTCTGCTCCGGGATACATTTGACCTCTTGCCACATGTCCCATCAGCACATCAGCAACTGTATTCATCTACCCGAAATTCTCTTTTTTATCTTCACCACGTTGATACTTATCTTGTACTTAGTAATTCATGCCTTGGTGCTGACTATTTCATTTCATTTGTTTGTTTCTTTGCTTTTTAATAGAGCCACCACATAAAATTATTTTTTAAATGGGCTACTGTATACAATTTTTTTTTTTTTTTTTTTTTTGCGAGAGTCTCTCTCCGTTGCACCAGACTGGAGTGCAGTGGTGCTATCTTGGCTGACTGCAACCTCCGCCTCCCAGATTCAAGCGATTCTCCTGCCTCAGCCTCCCAAGTAGCTGGGATTACAGGCCTGTGCCACCACACCTGGCTGATTTTTGCATTTTTAGTAGAGATGGGGATTCACCATGTTGGCCAGGCTGGTCTTGAACTCCTGGCTGCAAGTGATCCACCTACCTCGGCCTCCCAAAGGGCTAGGATACAATTATTTAGATTGTGTACTGAACAACTCTAATGGAGTCTCATTTACATTAAAAATGAATATAGGCATATAGATAGACATAAGTCTATCTATAAGAATAAGGTGAAATGAGATCAATAATAAGAACCTTTGAATTGTATTACTCACCCTAGTGCACTGTCTACCACAAATATCAACTCCTCAGCAGAATATCTTATACTGAGTCAAATTGGGTACATGCCTTACTGAGAAGTGTCCATGGATGGTGAATACTTCTTTATTAATGTATAAAAATTAAGTTTTGTATTAATAAAATATATTAATATTAATATTTTAATAAAAATTTTACACCATGGAATACTATGCAGCCATAAAAAATGATGAGTTCATGTCCTTTGTAGGGACATGGATGAAATTGGAAACCATCATTCTCAGTAAACTATCGCAAGAACAAAAAACCAAACACCGCATATTCTCACTCATAGGTGGGAATTGAACAATGAGATCACATGGACACAGGAAGGGGAATATCACACTCTGGGGACTGTGGTGGGGAGGGGGAGGGGGGGAGGGATAGCACTGGGAGATATACCTAATGCTAGATGATGAGTTAGTGGGTGCAGCGCACCAGCATGGCACATGTATACATATGTAACTAACCTGCACAATGTGCACATGTACGCTAAAACTTAAAGTATAATTAAAAAAAAAAAAAAACCAGAAAGAGAAAAAAAAAAATTTTATATATAGTAATGTTCAACAAATGATAGAGAATTTTCTTATTTGCATAAAAGCTAGTGATGAGATTCCATTAGCTTGTAAACAATTAGAATATAAATTGAACTAAATACATATTTGAAACACAGAGCAGTAATGAATTTTCACCACTATCCCATCCAATTTTCACATATCACAGATGAGAAGCTTCAAGCCCAACAACGGTGAGGTGACTTACTGAGAATCTTACATAGAGCTTAGGTAGAAATAAAATAGAAATCTTCTTGGAAACAGTCCTATTCTCTTTTACATAGTTTTCCTCTAATGGGTTTGGGGGTCTGGTCCAGAATACACAAAGCTGTCTAGACACAGGTAGCAAAGCCGTGATAATGGAATAAATGGCATGGGATTGACATTGCATAATAACAGGCCAGCCCTGAGGGAGGTCACAAAGCAGCACTGTTTCTGAAACTGCTATTTACTTTTTGATGTCCTTTCACACACACAAAAAAAAAAGACAGAAAGAAAGAAGAGTTCAAGTTAGTTGTAGGGGAGAGGAGGAAAGTAATTTTCTGTGGAGAGAAACAAAGCTGTGACTGAGAAAGGAGGTTCTACAAGACATTTGTGGGTGTTGTGGATTACGACCAGGGTAGGATTTAAGACCATCTATCATCCAAAAGCACTTTCAAATGTATCGGGGTAGGGGGAAGCAAAAGAGCCCAAGAAGAGATTAGTCACTATAGAGACATCATGGGTTATCATTGAGACTTGATGAGGTTTATATTAAATAATATTGTTAAAGGCTTGATGTGACATCAAGTAATGATGTAATATAGTAATTATAAAGTGATTATAATTAAATTTCTGCAATGAGCTTTATAGGCAAAAAGAAGATGAAGGAAATAAGATGCAAATTTCAGCAGTGAAAATGTTGTCTATGGAATAATTAATCAAAAAGATTTAAAATGATGGACATCAAAGAAAATCTCTGCACTGCTACCTTTCATTACAGGAAGAAAGAAGAGCTTCTAACATACAGCTATAAAGCAAGTGCTTCCACCCTCAGCACAGATAATTATTTATAAAAAATAATAAACACAGTTAAAATCACACCTGTCCCTATCACAGCATTATGTAACACTCTAGAATCCTGAGCTTCCTGTTGACATAGTTTGAGTTATTCTTATTAATTTCCCTAATTTATTGAACATTACTCTGTGTTCTTTATACACATCAGCTTATCAAACTCAGTCCTCGCAAGAACTCTGTAGGGTAGTTGTTATTTCTACCAATTTGAAGATGAGGAAACTGAGTCTCACGGAGGTGCAGTGATTGCCCAGAGTTTCACAGGAGAAAGTGGTGGAGTCAGGATTTGAACCTTGGTCACCTGGAGGCCAAACACTTTGGTTTTTCTACCATCTCCTGCTGCCTCTTATTAGGCCACTTGATTCTCTGCAAAGCATCAGTACTCCTGCTTCTTAGATTCTAGATTCTTCCTCTGGGATCCTCAAACATGTCCACCTTGCACACATGGCCTCTGAGCTGGAGCCTTGCAAAATGAGCAAAATATAATACTGGGTGAGAATGAAAGGCAGAATGACTGAGGATTAAAGAATCTGCAGAACCAGCTGACTGACTTTGCCTGTATGTTGATTATTTCGATTCACCTCTTTTGCTATCCATAGGCATAAATTGCACAAACCTGTACAGCTGACTGATTCTGGTCCTAGCCCTTAACTTCTGATGATGTCCTTTAAAAAAAAAAAAGCCAGTTTCACTACAGTTGCATCTGCTCATCCTTTAAGCTCTTTAAATGAACTCCATGTTTATTCCTTGGCTCTTAACATGGAAAAAAAAATTTTCATTTTTTTCCATGTTATTAATGCTGTTTTTAAAGAGTCACCCGTGCTTTTCCTTTATGTCTTTGACATGAGGAAAGTCTGTAACATTAGAGGACAAAGCCAATAAAAGAAACCCTGCCGTTGTTACTTTCTTAGCACCCTCAGATGCCTGTTGATATTCACATTCAGATAGGAGAGAACAGGAGGAAGCCACTTTTAATCGAAGCCCACATGCACAAGCACACATGCAGAACAAAAAAGCTGGAGGTGGGGAAAGACACCATATTGGGACGTGTCAGGGACTGGATTCATCCTTGAAACTGCACCAAGTGGAGAGCTTGGGTGGTAGCTACAGCTGTCTTATATCTTAAATGTTGAGATAGAGCCATGTCAAGCAAATGATTAAATAAATAAAGGACAGTTGCTTTTCTTGAGTGATACTGATCTTAGAGTCAGCCTCAGGTCAATAGCTATTTTTCTTCCCAGAGCAGGACACTTAGAGACACCAAATAAAAAAAAATAGAGAGAAAAACAGACATCAGATAGTCTATTAGTGAAATATATAAAACCCAGGACATTTCAAAGAGTAAGTTGTAATAACATTTCCAAAATTGATTGAATCAACCTTTAGATCCAGAGAAATGAAGTAAACAAATTTGAAAGCAAGTGAGAAAATGACATAACCAAGGTCTTTAGAATTTCTTTACTTGGCAGGTGTCATAGTGAATGTTTGCAGATGCTTTGACAACTGGATACAATTCTCAGAAGATTTAGATTTCTTAATTAAAAAAATTATCTCAACTTGTTAGGAAGAAAACACTGCCTTAATTAATATTAAGGGGAGAAAATTCCCAATTTCTACAGAATTTCCAAGAGCTTTTAGTGATAACTCTTATTAACATTCAGGTAAATTGTAGAGATACACATACATTTCCATCACTGCTGACACTGTATGTTGGTGAAACTATCTCCATTTTTTCATCCATTTCCCCCTTACCTCTTCTTATTGTAGAGTCTGTAGAAGGTAAAATATCCAATTTCTAAGCTCTTTTGTACTTAGAAATAGGCCATAAGACACAGTGCTGGCCAAAAGCATAAACATAGACAGTTGCTGTTTCCACATCTGTCCCATTATCTCCCTTCCTGCCAGAATACAGACTGGAGGACTGGAGCACAGAAGCCTTTGTCAAATGGTGAGGTGACAGTCGTGTAGAAACATGTACCAAGGGAGGCAGGAGGAAAGAGATCAGGGGCCTGCATAGCACATGTTATCACATGGAAGTTGCACAGCTCGGGATTCCCTAGATCTGGATTCCATTAATGTGAGGAAATATGAGTTATGGACTAATATGGAATGTATGCTAACATGGACATGCACTCACATGGATGTGCACACATGTGCTGGCATGGGGTATGCTGTATGTGGGACAGGTACTAACCTGGGGCATGCACTAATATGGGGCATGCATTACATGGGATATGCCCTAGCAGGGGGTGGGCGTTAACATGTGTTGTATGCTAACACGGTACATGTGCTTATATTGGGTGTTTGTCAAAATGGGATATACACTGGCATGGCACATGTGCAAATATGGAGTGTGTGTGAACACAGGAGATTGGCTAAAATGGGATGTGCGTTAACAAGAACATGCAATGATATGGGACATGCTCTAACATGGGATACACACTAACCTAAGCTGTGCATTAACTTGGGATATGCCTACTATGTGCTAGGCACCATTCTCGGTACTGTTTATATCTACTGTCCTGTTTACTTCTACAATTGTCTCTTTCAAATCTCATATAATTTACCTCACTTCCAACCAGCTTTATGATATCATTGAATAGTACTTAAATAATAAAAAGAGGAGATTATATTTTTCCGGGTGTTTGAGTTTTAAAAATCTTTCAGTGGAGCATGGCATGATATGTTTCTTGCTTTAATCATCTTTATTCTAAAAATAAAATGGGAAATAAGACCCACGTATACTACCAAGTGTGTATCTAAAATTATTTCTTACATTTATTAAGTAAGTAATATGCATTAATATGGGGTGTGCATTAACTTGGGAGATGGCTAATGCGGTATCTGTACGATTGTGGACACGTGCTAACTTGAGATGTTAACTGGCTAAAACGGAATGCCAGTTAACTTGGGATGAGCTGACCTGGGTCATGAACTGATATCAGGCGGGTGCTAACATGAGAAGTGTGCTCATGTGCATACATGCTAATATGGGTTCTGTGTTCAACCTGCCTTAAGTATGCCTGAGAGAAAAATCCAGAAAAAAAAATCAAAACTCCTGATTACTGAAGGAGATTCCACGTGACTAAAATAACCTTCTGAGAACAGAAAAATAAATATTCAGGAACAAGGGGCACTATAATTTTCCTCATACAACAAGAAAGCATGAGAGAATGCTAAGGGAGTTCTGAGAAGGCTGCAGACTCTGTCAGTGGATGAGCTTCAGTTGTGTGGAGCAGAGGTGAGAGAGCTTTTCTTTTGTTAAACCTCGTAAATGAGCGCATTTTTCATTCCACTCTTATTAGGTAGGTCAGCAGCCTCTGGAGTACGGAGTCGCCATATAGCTCCAATTCCTAGCACACACAGTGCCTTGCATAAAATCAGCACTTCATCTGTTGTTAACTTTGATGCAAATGGCATAGATTCGTTAGATTATTTTGACTCATCCAGAAAGATACATGAGAATAGTTTAAACAGGCAAAAGTTAACTAAGTATTTGTTACATACGTCATATAAAAATAATCAATAATGAGAAATATATCTTTTATTTGGACTACAATAAGCCTAATGAAAATATAATGTGTGTGAGTAAACATAATTTTATTCTTCAACCAGGCTGCTGACTAGAGAAGTCTGGCTTTTACATCTCCTCTCCTTTTCGGCCTCAGATATTAACAATTTTGTAAAAGGGAACTAGATTAATAATTTAACAAAGATGAGCTGAATATTTTCTTCTATTATTTTGCCAGATAAGCAACCATGCTGTCTTACTTTAAAATCAATCTTAACTACATTTTCTATTATGTACTTTCTGTTGTTCTAAACAAGACTAATTTATTTTATGCAAGTCACTGAGCAACTACCACTAAAATAAAATTGAATCTGAACCTCTCTTAAGAAACCGCTTTTTGTTCTAAATTTTTAAAAAATCAAGTCTTGTGAAATTCCATTTAAAATTATTTTTCACTCGAAGAGATTTAGGCTCTTATAAAAACCATTCATTTCTGAAACATTGAAGAGAGATTTTTTTCTAAAATAATTTTGTAATGTTAAAAAATCTACTAAGCATTTTGAAAATAGGAAAGTGCTTCTCTGACCTCATGAATATCCTCTCTATAAAACAGGCAATAATTAATATTTTGAAGAATTTCCTAATGATTATTTGTTCAAAATCTTACCTAAAATGAAACAAGCTACTGGGAATATTTTTAATATTATTTATAAAAATTAGCATGTTAGTATATGATTCAAATGCTGGATTTTTTTCTCCTGTATGTTCTTCAGAGTGAATGATATTTTCAGATGTTATAACTTAAATAAAATTTCAAGACATTGACATTTGGTCAATGACCAATAAAATTTTATACTATAGTAAATGTTCATATACTCTCAAATAGTTTAATACACAGCCATTGCCATTTATTTAATAATCTATCAAATATTTAGTTAGCACCTACTTTGTGCTAGGCATCATTCTCAGTACTGTTTATATCTACTGTCCTGTTTACTTCTACAATCGTCCCTTTCAAATCTTGTATAATTTGCCTCACTTCCAACTAGCTTTATGATATAATTGAATAATTCTTAAATAATATAAAGAGGATATTATATTTTTCTGAATGTTTGAGTTTTGAAAATCCTTTAGTTGAGCATGGCATGATATGTTTCCTGGTTTAACCATATTTATTCTAAAAATAAAATGGGAACTAAGACCCATGTATACTACAAAGTATATATCTAAAATTATTTCTTACTTTTTTAAGTAAACAAGTATTTTAAAGAAAATAAAATAGGATCATGCTCTGGTCCTATCTGTACTGGATTTATTCAGTTAGTGTCTAATACATTTTCACAGGAAGAGGTACAGGAAGTTCATCATGACTTTGTCTTCACACTTTCAATTTGGAGCCCACAATTATGTCTCATAATTTTTCTTTGTAACATTCACCAAAACCTTTGAGGATGTGGTGGTAGAAGCTTTCAGACCCACTGGCTTTGGCCCTCATTAGTTTCTCCTATAGAATGTATTTTTCTTTTCTCCCTTCAATGCAGTTAGTGTCAACACTACAGCAACCTTCCTTATGCTGCGTGTGTGTGTGTGTGTGTGTGTGTGTGTGTGTGTATGTGTGTGTGTGTGTGTGTGTGTTGAGTTATAGGGAAGATTAAGAGCACAGTTATGGAATAACAAAATAAGCCACTGTCTGAATCCTGATTCAATTCCTTCCTGGATATAATTTATAAATTTCCTGGGCCTGATTTTTCAAGAGTTCAAGCATTGCACCCAAGAGCTTTTAATAAATGGCAGATGTGTTTATTCTTGAGTGTTAAACTATCTGTAATCTCACTTTTGTAGCTGGTTGATTGAGTGTGGGTGGGACAGATGGGGTGGTTCCCATAAATACAGTATAGATATAATAAATACTAGTTGAACTGAATGACTTCACTCAATATTCTGTGTAAAGAACCCTCAGCACACTCAGTATCAGAAAGAAGCTCACTCTTTACCCAATTGCTGATAAATGTATAAAATATGCGCCCATCCAACATTGACACTTCACTTTTCATAATTTTTCCTGGGAAAGACACTCCAACCATTTGAATAATTGCCAAATGATTTCTACATCTGGACCTAATTTTCCATAGTTCACTAATGATAGCAGAAGAATCATGTCAGTTAAAAAAAGTTAATATTTATAACAGCTAGTTCAGCAAAATTGGGAAAATTGTTTGGACACCTTATTTAAAAAAAAAAACTGTGGAAGGACATTTACTTTCATTCCATGCCTTTATAAACTTGCTCTTCTTAACATCTTAAAAAAAAATATTGCCAAGTTCCAACTTGGCCTTAAGATTGAATCAAATTAGTCTGTCATAATTAATTAAGAGAGAAGACATTTTGAAATACACTGTTTGTTTTTCAGCCTCAGTCTGACATGTCGATGAAAGCAATTAGCAATAAGTTCTGCTACCAAGAAAGCAGCCTAGCCCAGGGGACACAATGCATTTGTGGACAGCAATTCAGTAATGAATGTTACTCTAATTTCCATTTAACTATGCTATGTTCTCAGAAATAAAATATACTTTTAAATTTTATTTCAATAATTAAACTCCTTTTCTCTCTCTGTAATTTTAGTATGAAAGTAATAATCTAGAGCAATATATTCAACTTGGTGAGCCAGAGCTGATGAGTAGATCCCAGTAGATCACAGAGGTCAGCTAGTGTGAGACAAACACCACCTCCAACAAATTAAGCAAATTAATTTTTTCTCTACTGAACAAAATATTAACTAGTGATAACTAAAATGCCATTTTTAAATTCCCCCAATTCTCTCAAGTAGTACTGAAGCTGCTTACGAGATCTGAGGAACATACTTGTTTATCACAGGAAACTAGGAAAGGTAATTGCCATCTTTTAGCTAATTACAATACTTTTTGAAAGCAATGACTTGAGGCCAGGCAGGTAACTAAAGCAATACAAAGGCCATAATTAAGATATGTGACTATTATTGCTTAGTTATGTTCTCTAGATCTTTGAGTGCTTCAGATGAAAGACAGGAAGAAGTAAGTGTGCTTCCCGATTTATCTGCATTTACATTCACCTCAGCCCATCCAATGGACGAAGGACAGGCTTTATAACTCAGATGCCTTGGGTATTACTAGCCTTGGTTTTAAACATTATTTGTAATAAAGTATGTTTACATCCCTTAGCCCTAAGACATAGTGTTTCCTGTTTGACCTCACCAAGTGCTCAAATTTTCCTTAATTTTAGGTTTACCTTAACCAAAATTGTGATTTTTTTTTTTTTACAGTTGCAAAGTAAATAAATTTTGGCTTATGCTTCAAAATATAAATAGTTATTCCATGTACTTTTCACAGTTAAATTTTATTTATTGTATCTAAAATTTCCCCCAACTGTTAGAAATTAGGGAGAATGTATCACCTCACTTCTAGTGTGGTTGTGAACTAAAACATGGTGCAAGAGGCAGAGGGTGAAAATTCTCACCAAGTATACATTGGACTTGAATCAGAAAGATGTTAGCTGTATTTAGCAGAATACCTCAATTAAAACAACTTAGAATATGCTTGTTTCTTTTGTCACTAAGCAAGATATAGAGGGTCCCAGGGTCTATTCATTAAACATAACAATGACACCATCAATGATCCAAGTGCTTCCATCATTCTCCTTAGCTGTGTCCAGCTTGCTGGCCTCAATACTCAGGTCTATGCTCTCTAGATCACAAGCTGGCTGCCACTACCACAGATAACATGCTCACCGATGTCCACATCCAAAGACAGGAAGAAGAGTATGTTCGCTACATCTCTTTTGTAAGTCCCCTGCTTATCTCTCCCATCTTACCTCCCTCCACACTTGATTTCTCTTGGTGCACATTCTTTTGCCTCTTTGAGGTCCCATTGGTCTGTTAGGTCCCAGCTAATCCCAAAGTAGGCTGTAAATTAAGTACTTTATTTGAAATTTTCAGCCTTTGTAAGTAATAATGGGAGCACACAGAGAGACAAAAGGTAATAAACCACATTAGTACAAGTGATACAATCTCTGAGTCTTAAACATACAAACTCCAGCAGTATATACAGAGGATCCTGTCCTTATGTTGAAGTGGGAGGAGTGGGAAGAAAAGAGAAAAATTTGAAATGGGAAAGACAGGGAAGGACCCTTAAACAGGCTTTTCTCATATCTAAAATTTATCAGGGGATATGAGTCAGAGAAAATTAATCAATGTCCAAACCTAAGAATTTTATTTGTTTGAGAAATCATATAAGATGTCCTTCACTGAACGATGCTTCACAATGCAGTTCAGAAACTGCATGGTTACTTGGCAGACAAGTGTCTCAGGAACCCGCATGCTTATATTGTGGGTGTCACACATAGGACATCCAAAAAGAGGCTTTGAGTTTTGGCATTTAAATGGTCAGAATATGGGAAGGAAAATTGTAGCCTTCAGAAACAGATGTGACTTTTGAAAGATTGCCACTTATTTCCTTCAAATTCAGAAGTTTTGTTTTCAAAAATTTATGGTTTCATCCCAATTACTGCATATCTATCTTTAAAATGTTTTTGCTTACACTAAGATTTGGGAGGCATCTTAGAATTTGAGAGCTGTTCTTTTCTGGGGATTACTCGTAGTTATTTTTACATAAGAATTCACAGAATCATAGAATATCAGTTAGAAGAGAAAGTAGAATTTAAACCCAACACCTCCATTTCCCAGAAGAGGACATGTAAGCCCAGAGAAATGCAGTGACTTGCTGTATGTTATCTGAGGATCATTCACTATGATCAGGTGGAAGTCATCCCAGGAATGCAAAGATGGCTCAACATACACACATACATAAATATGATACACCACATCAACAGAAAGAAAGATGAAAAACATGATTATTGCAATAGATGCAGAAAAAGCATTTGACAAAATGCAATATCCCCTCCTGATAAAAATTCACTACAAATTAAGAGTAGAATGCATGTACTTCAACACAATAAAGTCTGTATACGAAAAAACCACAGCTCACGTTATACTTAATGTGAAAAAGCTGAGCGTTTTTCCTCTAAGATCAGGAGCAAGACAAGGATGCTCACTTTCACCATGTCTAGTACACATAATACTGGAAGCCCTAGCCAGAACAATTAAGCAAGATAAAGAAATAAAAACCCTCCAAATTGAACAGGAAAAACATAAATTGTCCCTGTTTGTAGATGACAGGGTGGATAGATGTCTCCGTCTTATATAGAGAAAACCCTAAATATTCCACTAAAAACTGGTAGAACTAAGAAATTCAGCCAATTTGCAAGATTCAAAATCAACATACAAAAAATCAGTATATCTGTACATTAATATTAAATTATCTGAAAAACATTAAGAAATCAATTCTTAATTGCTAACACCTAGGAATAAACTTAAGCAAAGAGGTGAAATATCTCTAAGCTGAAAACCACTGATGAAAAACATTGATGAAAGAAGTTAGAGAGAACATAAATAAATGAAAAGACAGCCCATTAGAAAACATGTTCATGGATTAAAAAATTTAATTTTGTTAAAGTGGCCATACTACCAAAAGCTATCTACAGATTTAGTACAATTCTTATCAAAATACCAATGACATTCTTCAAAGAAATAGAAAAAAAGATTCTAAAATTATATGGAACCACAACAGACTCCTAATAGCCAAAACAATGCTGAGCAAAAAGAAAAAATCTGGAGGCATTACACTACCAAATTTCAAATGTACTACTGAAACAGCATGGTACTAACACAAAAACAGAGGAATAGACAAATGGAGCAGTACAGAGAGCACCAGTGCAAAATTCATACCTTTACAACTAACTGATTTTGCATGAAGGAGCCAAAAGCATACATTGGGGAAAAGATGTTCCTTCAATAAATTGTGCTTGGAAAATTGGATATCCAGTGTGCAGAAGAATGAGTCTAGATCCCTATCTCTCATGATATACAAAAATCAACTCAAAATAAATTGAAGACTCAAATGTAAAACCCTAAATCACAAGAGTACTACAAGAGAACAAGGGAATGTGTCATGACATTGGGCTGAACAAGCATTTTTAAAATAAGACCTCAAAAATGCAGGCATCAAAAGCAAAAATAGACAAAAGGGATTACATCAAACTACAAAATATTTGCATAACAAAGGAAACCATTAATATAATGAAGAGACAACCTACAGAACAGGAGAATTTAGTTGTAAGCATCTGACAAAGGGTTAGCATTCAGAACATATAAGGAGCTTAAACAACTCAGCCAAAAAAAAAACCCCAAAAAACTAAAAAACAAATAACCACATTAAAAAATGTCCAGAAGACCTGAATAGACATTTCTCAAAAGAAGACATACAAATAGCCAATAGTTATAGGAAAAAATGCTCCACATCACTAACTATCAAAGAAATGTACATCAAAATCACATTGAGATATGACCTCATTACAGATAAAACGGCTATTACCAAAAAGAGAAAGAAAACAATTGTTGGCAAGGATGTGGAGAAAAAGAGAATACTTGCAAACTGTTGAATGTAAATTAGTACAGCCATTACGAATACAAGTATGAGAGTTTCTCCAAAAATTAAAAATAGAATTGCCATATGATACAGCTAACCCTTCCTTTGGTATATATCCAAAGGAAGTAAAATCAGTGTGTGAAAGAGATATCTGCATTCCTATGTTTATTGCAGCATTACTTACAATAGCCAAGGTATGGAATCAACCTAAGTGTCTAACAATGAATGAATAGATTAAAAAATATGGTATGTATACACAATAGAATACGAGTCAGTCATAAAAATTATGAAATCCTGTCATTTGCAACAACATGCATGGACCCGGAGGACATCACGTTAAGCGAAATCACCAGATACAGATAGAAAAATATCACATGATCTCACTCATGTGTAGAACCTGCCAAAAACAAAGAGTTTATATAACAGAATCTGAGAGTAGAATAGTAGTTACCAGAGACTGAGAGGGTATGGAAAAGGGGAGAATGGGGACAGATTGGCCAAATAGGTACACAGTTACAATTGTATAGAAGTAAGTTTTTGTGCTCTGTTGTACAGTAGAATCACTATAGTTAACAGTAAGATATTTATATTACAAAATAGCTAGAAGTGAGGCTTTTGAATGTTCTCACCGCAAAGAAGGATAAATGCATGAAGGTGATGGATATGCTAACTCTCCTGATTTGTTCATGTGATTATATAACATATATATGTACCAAAACACCAAATTGTATCTTATAAATGTGTAGAATTCCAATGAGTCAGTTAAAAATATTTTTTTAAAGTTTAAAAAGAAAAGAAAGCTGGCTCCTTCCGTCATTAGTTTTACAGTTAAATTCATGCCACAAGGAAATAAACACTGGATTGGAAGATGCAGCACCTGTTCTCAGGGTGAATATATTCCATCTGAAGATATACAATTACACATGAAACAGTTTAATCATGAGTCACATAAGATGCTCAGCACAGTAATTCAGAGAAGGATTATTGGCAAAAGAGGTGAGGCATCTGCTTCTGGGAGGTTTCTGTGAGAAGAGAACATAAGAAATACAAAATATAAGGGTATTCTATCTGGAAATCATAGGCATTTTGAAGATTTATTTTTGTCTGCAATAAACTTTTGATTTATTATTATTTCCACAGGTAAAGTATATAACAAATAATTTAATGGATTCACATATACCTACCTCCCAGATACAGAAATAGGACATTACTAATAGATTTTAAGCCATCTATAAGCTTTCTCCAAATTTCATGTGATTATTTTTAATATATAGTTCTAACCGTCTAATATACTGGAAGTTAATTGGAGATAAGTGTCATCAAAGGCAAGATTTCACAATTGCTTTTCATATGTGAATGACCAATCACTCATGAAGCATGTTGTAGTACAGCAAAGGAACCACACATGAGCAAAAATTATGACTTTTGTCTGATTTTCAGTACAATGCTAAAGTTCCAGTTAAACAGTGGTTTCTTAGCTTAATAATAGGCAATGTAAGTGCACTTTTCCCAGATAAAAAAAAATTCCTCAGAAGATTTCACCTGTGAATAAATGGGATGGCTTATTCAGAGGGACCAATGATAATTGGGTGGTAAGAATTTAAACTCAGTCCTCCTGGCTCCAGATACAGGGCTGTTTCTTTATCCATCACCATCTATTTCAAAGATATTTCAAAAGCTTACGCTCTAAAGGTCATCCTAGACTGGTTTCTAATACTGATTTTATTGCACATATTTGTTCTTGAGCAAACTAGGTAACCTATATATGCCTCAATTTGTTTACATGAAAAATAGAGATAATAGTATTATACATCTTTGTTATGGAGTTGCTCTAAATATTAAATGAAATAATGGTTGTTTAATGCTTAGCTCAGTGTCTGACATCAGTATATGCTCAGCAAATGATAGCTATTATTATGTTCCTTTCTCTTGAAGAAGATGGTTTGAAAATCTAAGAGCACACAGTGTCTGCATTTGAAATGTCCTTGTAAGTGGAAGGGTTTGTCATGCATGACGTGAATCATGTCAATATCAAGTGGGAATAATCATTTCTGTGTGCCAGTTATCCCTGGGAGTATAATTGTAACTATGTTTGGCCTATGGTCTTTTAAATTATATCTATTATGTAATTATAGTATATTATCTTATATAATTATATTATATATAATTTTAAAATGTATACATACATTTATATGTATGTATGTATGCAAATATGTATACATTCATATGTGTATATATAGGTATGTTTTGTCAATAAGGGTGAATCCTGGCTCTTGTTTATTCCTGATTCAGCTTAGAAACAACCCAGGCTATTTCAAGGGCATGGCATATGACACCTTGTGTTCTCAAAGCCAAAATACTCCTAATGGCAAATCTGCAAATTCTGCTTGAAAATGAATTCTTAAAGACCATTCTAGTAGATGTTTTGGATGTGAAACTTTTCATTTCCAGGAAGGTTGAAGAGATTGTTGCACCCTAAATAATACGGTCCTTGCAAAAGCTCCAGGAAGAGCACTTTAAAGATGCATATACTAAGATGTGTGTTCGGTCTCCTCTGGAGGGCACTCTAAAAAATTTGCATATGCAAACCCTTTGCGTATTTACCAGCGCAGGTGATGAGTAAAAGTAGGTTTGAATCAATTTAGTGGCATTTTTACACAGAGCTTTAAAAATTGGATACTGTGAATGTCAACTTCCACAAACCCCACAGGCCTTTCTTTCAGCCAAGCACAAATATTAAAGCGAACAAGAGCATTCAAAAAGAAATAGCTGGAAATATTATTTCACGTGGAATGCAAAGGAAGGTTTATAAGCAAACAGCTGGCCTTCTCCAAGGTACTTTATAATTTAATCTGTTTCATATTTTGCTTTTCCAAGGGACTTTGAAAACTTCTTCAGGAAGAATGAAGATAACTGATGCCATTCCTTAGAACTGCAGACCATTGCTGGGCTTTGCGTTGACTCAAGAGAAAGCATGGGTAGGAGAAGGGCAAGCTCATTCACCTCATCACAGGAAAAATAATTGCCAGAAACTTGTGAAGTTTCAAGTTCTATTTCCTACGTAAAACCCCTGACTACCACCCTTCTCTTAACTTACATGACTTTTTCTCTCTCCTAGCGCATACGCTAGTCACATTCATCTTCTTTCTGTTTCTTAAGTGTACCAAACTCATTTCTCCCTTTCCAATTTTTTTCTCCCCAACCACTACATTTATTCCCATTATTCAGAGTAAAATTTGCATCTCCAGTAAAGATATCCTAGGAGTCTAACATAAATTAAGTCCTCATGCTATCTTCTTTTATAGTAGCCTGGATTCCTTCTTTATAAGAATTCTATATTGTATTATTACCTTGATTGCCTATTTGATGACTGTCCCTTCATTAGAGTGTCAGTTTTAGGCAGGCAGGGGCTTTGTGTAGTAAATTAATGTAGTCATAGGATATAGAACGTTGTTCAGATCACAGTAATCATTAATGTTGCTTTAACCAATGCAAGGAGAGGGACTTTTAGCTCCCTCGAAGGTACATTGCACTTGGCAGTCAACCACCTAGAAATCAGAATAAAATTAATAAATATGAATCTTGGAATAATAGGAATGCCTAGTCAAAAAAGAGTAAAATTAAGCAGTATTTGAAAATAATTGTGACCTAATAATTTATCATAGGTTTCAGTATTTTTCTTCTTGCTTCACTTCAGTTAAACTGACATAAAAGAAACATTGTTTCTCAAATACCCAGGGACACTGGAAAAAGGTGTTTGAAGATAATAGTGTGTCAATTAAGGCAAAGCTGAAGGATCCAGTCCTTTCTCTGGGAATTGACTGGGCTATCTCTGCAGAGAACTGCCTGAAAAGTCACAACTAATGCCAAAGCCCTGTTGCTGTAAAGGAATTAACACAATTCCAAATCCCTGCTTGTCTGGAGCAACAGAATACAAGGTGCTCTCAAAAAGGCTCATCTGGATACCTCAGCATACAATATTTTATTTTTATTTTTTGAGACGGAGTTTCTCTTGCTCCCCAGGCTGGAGTTCAATGGCGCGATCTCAGCTCACGGCAACCTCCGCCTCCCGGGTGCGAGCGATTCTCCTGCCTCAGCCCCCTGAGTAGCTGGGATTACAGGCATGCACCACCACACCCAGTTAGTTTGGTCTTTTTAGTAGAGATGGGGTTTTGCTATGCTTGGTCAGGCTGGTCTCCAACTCCCGAAGCATACAATTTTTATCCTTTCCTTATTAAGTCAAGAATTTTCACCTTTTCACTTAAAGGAAGTGATGGCAGCGGCAGCCATTTGGAGTGTCCCCTGCAAAGATGCCAGCCACAGCAGGAGAGGCACAGCTAGGGTTGTGCACTCCACCCAGTGGGAGCCAGGAACAGGCAGGACATTCAGCCCCTACCGAGTTGGCGGGAAGGGAGCCCTGTGCTCCCAGGCACAGCTGCATATGTCCAGTTGCAACTCCGGACCCAGGCATCCCTGTGCTCTCAGGGGCCCAGGAAACTACCCCCCACAGCAGTCTTGGAAATGCCTGCACCCACTCCTGGCCTCTCCCTACTCCCAGTGCCTACTCCGACTTTGGAGCAATGTTGTGGCTGAGCCCGGGTGCTGTCACCACCCAGCTGGGTGTGTGCACACTCAGGGTGGTGCTGACATGCCAGGCCCCTGCCGCCTCAGCCCCCTCTGGACTTTGGGCACCGATGAGCGTGGGAGGGAGGCCAAGGGGCTGAGGGCAGCTCAGCGTGGGCCTGCAGGCCCCCTTGGAAAGAACAACCTGGGTCCAGTGAACCGCATGTTGATGGTGGGAGGCAGAAAGATTCCTGAGCTGAAAGGGCGGGTCTGGTGAAGCCCCACCTTCAAGCCAGGGATAGCCTGAAGCCTGGAGGCTGAGCTTCCAGTTCTGGGTGGAGTCTGCCTCACAGAGTGATAACTTATGGTGCTTTTTCTGCGCCTGCTGATGGCCACCCATGGACCAATCAGCACGCAAGTCCTCCCTCCTGAGTCCATAAAAACCCCCGGCTCTGCCAGAATCAGACAGATATTAGGACTACCAGCAGAGGGAGGGAGCTACCCACATCCAGTCTCCTCCATAGGACAACCTGTCTGCTGAAAGGGGCTACCCACTACAAGTCTCCTCTCTTCTGAAAGCTGGAGACTCCTCAGGATGATCTGCCCGTGGAAATGAGCTACCCACTTCAGGTATCCTGAGAGCTGTTCTGCCGCTCAGTGAAGCTCCTCTGTGCCTAGCTAGCTCTCCAGTTGTGTGTGCCTCCTTCTTCCTGGATGTGGGACAAGAACTTGGGACCTGCTGAATGGTGGGACTGAAAGAGCTGTAACACAAACAGGACTGAAACACTCCCCTGTCCAACTCACGCTGTGTGCGACAAGAAGAAGAGAAGACTTGTGGCTTTTCAGGGAACCCAGACCTAGGGGCTCCCCAAGCCAGGGATGTAACACTCTTTTGGGGGCTCTGTGGTTTCTGGCGTCTCCAAGCTTTTGGGTGCCACCGCATCTCCCCGTCCCGGACGCCTGTGCCTGCAGCAAGCCGCTTGCAGTACGTCTTGTCCAGCTGCAGCCTCACATGGAGCCGGCGCCTGTGCCAATGCCTAGAGCTGCCTGTCCCGCCACAGCAGCCAGGCAGCTCTAGGCACTGGCTGTGCCTGGCTGTGCGCAATGGCCGAACCCTGTACGCGCTCACCAGCATATTCCTTGCCGCTCTGCACCTGACTCGCCCTTGGTAGGCGTGGGATCCAGGCCAGTTACACAGACTGAGTGCAGCCTGCCAAGCTGAGTGGGCAGCAGGGGCCAGTGGGCACAAGCAACACTTAGGCAGAAGGTGCCACCAGCCACAGAGGTTTCCGGCTGGCAAAGTGACACCCCAAGGATCCTGTGACAGAGTGCTTTAGGGCTTCTCTTTGCCATATCCAAATTGCCAGCAACACTACTTTTGCGCTTTCGGGAATATCGCTGACTGAAATAAAATGAGAGTTTTATTAAAAAGGAAGAACAGTAGAGGAGATAATGGAAGTCAGTCAGCCATGTCTGCCACACCTATGATGGTCTCATGCAGATAAGCTAAAATTAAATAAAATAAGGTTCATTCTAACGCAAGTACTGCAATCCCATGACAGTTGATCAGATAATTGAGACAGCTGCTAAGTGACTAATGGGTGGGGAACAGAGACAGGATGGATAGGCTACACAAAGGTATGATTCACATCCTGGGTAGGAAAGAGCCAGAAGGCATGAAATTTCATCATGCTATTCAGAACAGAACACAATTTAAAATTTATGAATTGTTTATTTCTGTCCTGTTCTGTTTAATATTCTCAGAGCACTGTTGATTATGAGTAACTGAAATCTTGGAAAGTGAAAGCACAGATAAGGGGAGACTACTGTATATTTAAGGTATTCAACTTGATGCTATGAGATACATACATATAAAATAGTCACTTTAGTGGCACAATTTAACATATCTACATCTCACACAGTTACCTATTTTCTCCCCTGTGACAAAAGGAACTATAATCTACTCATTTAGCAAAAGTCCTGAACACAATACACTATTAACTCTAGTTCTCATGTTGTACATTCCAATTTTCCACCTGTTTATCCTACATATTTGCTACTTTGTATCCCTGGAGCTACATTACCGCATTTCACCCCCACCCTATCCTGACCCTGATCACCACTGTTTTATTTTCTATCTTTATATCATTTGATGTTTTTAAAAATAGAGTTTACATATAAGTGAGATCATATATTTTTCTTTTCGTGTCTGGCTTACTTCATTTAGCCCAATTAAAATTCGATTTGTATCAGTATCTTTAGAAAGCAACTCATCTGAGAAGTCTTCTCTTGCTTCCTTCCTGGGGGGTCCTGTTGCCCTTTCTTTGTGCTTTCGTAGTGGCACCATGACTCTCCTCTCAGCTGGTATCATGTTGCAGGGCAAACATCTGTCTGTCTCCTCTCACTGGATGATAAGATACTTGAAGGAAGGGATTGTATCTATTTTTTGGACCGTCAAAACCACGACTATAATACCTCAATAAGCATTTGCTCAATGAGTAAATGAGTATATGAATAAATTAGTGTTATTTGCTTCATGGCCTGGATTCCTCCATAGCAGAACCTTATCTGCATGAGACCAGCATAGGTGTGGCAGGTATGACTGATTGACTTCCCAATATCTCTTCTATTCTTCTTCCCTTTTAATTATATTTCAGTCAATGGTAGTGCCAACTAAAATATTCATTTTCTAGTTTTTTTTTTTTTTTTAAAAAACTAGAAAGTTTAAATGACAGTGCTTGCCAATGAATATAAGGAAATATGTGTTGGAAATTTTTGGAAATATGTTGCTTTTTTAACGCAAGCATTATCACTTCTTGTTGCTTCCCTCTTTTTTTCTGCCTATAATGCTGACACAGGGCAAGAAAAGAAGTCTTTCTGCAAGATGAGAGAGAGAAATCCATGTGCTAAGGTAGAGGGAGATAGAAGGAGCCTGGTTCTTTGAGCAGCCAGGATTACCTAGCCCTACATGATTAAAAATGGAGCAGCCAGGATTACCTAGCCCTCCTTTTGAACAAGCCATTATAATGGATTTCTTTTATATACAGCCTAATAAAATCCATAACTGATAGCACTTAAAAGATTGCTTGAACTAATTGCTTTGGATAGAACAAATGAATAGGTATATAACTATGGTAATGAGCAGGAAAGTTTCTGCTTTGGTCCCCAAACCTAATGCCTATAGGATTCGGGATCTATTTCTAGGTAAAAATGATGATTTTGTCTTGTACCTTGCTGGGATTCAGTGATCCTTTGTGTTAAGTTCTATAATGCAGAAATGCCCGTGGACTGCTATGCCAGATTCTTCTATGATAATACTCTCTCCAAGACTGTGTCTTTTAAACATGCACAAATTCATGCTCAATCCCATTTCTGACTTGAGATATAGATAATATGTGTAGAAGAAGGCAACATTGAACTAAAAATGAGAAGTTTTCTATTTCAGCCTTACTCTTTTGCCACCTGATGGTCAAGTTATATAATTTTTTAATGAGTTTAAAATCACGGCAGGGAAGCTGCAACCACCTGTCACCAAATTTCTACTGCAATTGTGACCAAAGCCTGAAATTAAAACTCTTTTGACTGTTTCCCCATTTACCCTTCCAAGTGCAGCCTACTGAGACTCATGGAATTAGCATCTTAAAGAAACCCACACATCCCTTCACACTCCTGAAAACCACTGCCAACCACCCCTGCTTTCTCACAATTGTTCTCCAGGACTGCCTGTCTATAGCTGTCACCATTATTCATGCAACGCCCCCACCGAGCAGAGATGGAGAGAGAGATTGAGTTTGCTCACCAGTAAGTTGAGCTGTAAACTCAGGAAAATTGGGCTTCGCAAGGATGGAGAGCCTAGAGCTTTGACAGGCTGTGCTTCTGAGGAGACATGGAGTAAACCGCATTCTCTTTATTCATCACTTAGTGAAAGAAAGAAACACCCTTTGTGAAGTTGTCTCCACAGAGGTATAGCACCTATGGCCACTTTTCCTTGGGGACCTTTAGAAACAAACAAACAAGGCTGCTTCCCCGTCACTGTGTAGAGAGTTCATGCTTTTAATCACAAGGCATATGTAGGTGATAAGCTCTCAATGGTAAATGTCTCAAAAATTATATCTGTAGACCAGATGTTTGTCACAGCTACTGACCCTTAAGATGTAGGCAAGATTGCCTTAAGTGTAGGACACACATGATTTCATGGCCTTTGGGAGTCCACAGCTCTCCCAAAAGATTTCTGTGAATTTCCATGTGGGTTTCAGCTTCCTTGATTTCCCCTGCTTTGGGGGGCTGGTAATTTTTCTCTTTTTTCTTGAATTCTGATCCAGAACAAAGCTTAGTCCTTTAATGCTTTACTCATCAATACCCCAACTGCATACTTAATTCACTCATTTTACATCAGTGAAGACTTAGAGATCATGAACAAAATATTACATATGGAAATCATACAGTAATCAACATCTTAGTCTTTATTAGACACTTTTCCTCCCGAAGGATGTTTCAGCACTCTACAGCTCAGTATCCAGGCCTAGTCTTCTCTTCTTTGCTAATTTCTCATTTTCTCCTCTAGTCAGCCTCCTTCTTTGTTCTAGACTCACCACTAGATGCTAATCAGGGAGTAATGTCGGGCGAGACCATTGCAGCTGTGCATCACCAGATCCTTGAAACCAGACAGACCCCCAAATTCTGGATTTCTGTGTGTGTATGTGCATCTGTGTGTTGTTGGATGTGTCAGTAAGGATCTCTCTGTTCAGAATAGACTGTGAGTTTTAGAAATTATGAACACAAGGTACCAGACATTCTAATATGCTATAATCCAAACCACATTTTCTAGATTTACTTTTACCTCCTGAATGGGATCAAAATCTATCATCAGATTGGCTTTACACCACTTACACACTTACAGAGTGACTTTACACCACTCCACCCACTGGCCACCTTTCTGAAGCTTGAATGTTTGTACAGCACCCCACCCCAGCATAAAATGGAGATAAAAAGGATTTGAAGTTACGACACATTGAAGTAACATGGATTATTGGAGCTTAAGTCATTTTTCCATATCTTAAACTGGTGTACAAATAGTCTGCTTTACGAAAACCCCCACACAAGGGATGTGAAGGACCTCTTTAAGGAGAACTACAAACCACTGCTCAATGAAATAAAAAAGGACACAAACAAATGGAAGAATATTCCATGCTCATGGATAGGAAGAATCAATATCGTGAAAATGGCTATACTGCCCAAAGTAATTTATAGATTCAATGCCATCCCCATCAAGCTACCAATGACTTTCTTCACATAATTGGAAAAATCTATTTTAAACTTCATATGGAACAAAAAAAGAGCCCGCATTACCAAGACAATCCTAAGCAAAAAGAACAAAGCTGAAGGCATCATGCTACCTGACTTCAAACTATACTACAAGGCTACACTAACCAAAACAGCATGGTACTGGTACCAAAACAGACATATAGACCAATGGAACAGCACAGAGCCCTCAGAAATAATGTTACACATCTACAACCATCTGATCTTTGACAAACCTGACAAAAACAAGAAATAGGGAAAGGATTTCCTATTTAATAAATGGTACTGGGAAAACTGGCTAGCCATATGTAGAAAGCTGAAACTGGATCCCTTCCTTACACAAAAATTAATTCAAGATGGATTAAAGACTTAAATGTTAGATCTAAAATCATAAAAACTCTAGAAGAAAGCCTAGGCAATATCATTCCAGACATAGGCATGGGCAAGGACTTCATGATTAAAACACCAAAAGCAATGGCAACAAAAGCCAAAATAGACAAATGAGATCTAACTAAACTAAAGAGCTTCTGCACAGCGAAAGAAACTACCATCAGAGTGAACAGGCAACCTACAGAATGGGAGAAAATGTTTGCAATCTATCCACCTGACAAAGAGCTAATATCCAGAATCTACAAAGACCTCAAACAAATTTACAAGAAAAAAACAACCCCATCAAAAAGTGGGCAAAGGATATGAACAGACACTTCTCAAAAGAAGACATCTATGCAGCCAACAGACACATGAAAAAACGCTCATCATCACTGGTCATCAGAGAAATGCAAATCAAAACCACAATGAGATACCAGCTCATGCCAGTTAGAATGGCAATCATTAAAAAGTCAGGAAACAACAGATGCTGGAGAGGATGTGGAGAAATAGGAACACTTTTACACTGTTGGTGGGAGTGTAAATTGGTTCCACCATTGTGGAAGACAGTGTGGTGATTCCTCAAGGATCTAGAACCAGAATTACCATTTGACTCAGCAATTCCATTACTGGGTATACACCCAAAGGACTATAAATCATGCTACTATAAAGACACATGCACACGTGTATTTATTACGGCGCTATTTGCAATAGCAAAGACTTGGAACCAACCCAAATGTCCATCAATGAGAGACTGGATTAAGAAAATGTGGCACATATACACCATAGAATACTATGCAGCCATAAAAAAGGATGAGTTCATGTCCTTTGCAGGGACATGGATGAAGCTGGAAACCATCATTTTCAGCAAACAATCACAAGGACAGAAAAACAAATGCTGCATGTTCTCACTCATAGGTGGGAATTGAACAATATCACTTGGACACAGGGCGGGGAACATCACACACCCGTCAGGGGATGGGGGCTGGGAGAAGGATAGCATTAGGAGAAATACCTAATGTAAATGATGAGTTGATGGGTGCGGCAAACCAACATGGCACATGTATACCTACGTATCAAAACAGCACGTTGTGCACATATACCCTAGAACTTAAAGTATAATAATAAAAAAAAAGTCCCCACACCAACTCCCTAAGCTTATACCACTGAGGAAGCTGAGGACTCTTTATTAGTGTCTTATAGGCACTGCTAAAATAATATATCATAAATAGGTTTAACAGTAGTCTAATCTATTACCCTGCTGGTGTTTGCCAAAAATAAAGGAAAGTAAACAAATGAAATAAAAACAAAATGAGCAAGTGAAGAAAAAAATCTATTTCATGCAGGTTATAACAAGATGTAATATATGTTTTCTCTTTACGAGAGTATTTGATGCTCTTTATATTAAAGATTACAACAATATGTTATGTGAATACGTAATAATGTAGCTATATTTCCAGTAATATAGAATAATTTTAGCACTTGTCTGTGCCAGGCATTTTCCTAAGCATTCATATAAATTACTTCATCTAATTTCACCATTCAATGAAATAGATATTCTCATCATCCCTATGTTTCAGATAAAGAATCTAAGGCTCAGAGAGATTAGGTTAATAACAAAAAGTCATCAAACTAAAATGTGCACAACTGAGATTTAAAAACGTAGATCTGAATGAATATGGAGTCTACTTTTAACATTCCTAAAATTCAGTTTGCATAAAAAATTCATGAAGACAGCTATTGCATAAACATGGCCCAGTGAATTAGTAAATGGGGCTAATATATGGATTATAGGGTCAAACAAAGCTAGGGAGTATGTTTCCAGGTAGCACATCAATTTCTGTAAATCCTTGAGAACATTGGGTACTCATAGACAGGATGAGTTCTTAATCTAAAATGAAGAAATAACGGGTGATCAATACTTATATACTTCTTGATTAGACCTAATCTTCAGCAATATCCTACCCCGAATTTCACCTCCAACAACACTACTTTTGTGGGGAAGCTGTTAATATATAAAAGTCCATCTGTTCACTTGAGAATAAAGGACCACTCTGCTCCTAATCCAATGTCTGTTGCTTTTACAACTTTGAATACAACATCAGAGGTTAGCTTTGATATTTCCTCAAGTCTTTCTGGCATTTCTAGTGAAAGAGAGAACCTAAAACGGAGTGTAATAAACTTTATTACCCATCTGCATCTCAAATGCAATATACATTAACTAGGATGCACATGGATTTCCAAGTGTGATTGTATTTTCTAGTGTGCCTCTCTGGGAGGGAAACTGTCTCAATCACCAATAGACCATATCTAAAAACTAACAGGTTACTTTGTTGTGACCAACTCTCATTTCCCAAAGTCTCCACCCAACATGGACCCTATTCTGTTGCATCAGTTGGGTGAACATTCTCCCGTTTTTGTATTTTCTTTGCAGCATGGACATTGGGTGTGAGCGCGTTTTTTGGAAAAAAAAAATTCAGTGTTCCATTAATGAGATAATGTATTTATTTATTATGACAATAAACACAGCTGCAAAATGGACCATAAAGAAATAGACGACTTGCAGATTTCTGTGCCCAACCTGTCAACTGTAATTGAGAAATAAATTAAATGATCCATCTGCTTTGCATCATCTACTCCTTTATTTTTGTCAGTATCCATGGTTTTAAAAACTAATTACTCACTAAAAAAATCCATATAGAATTTGAATGACTTTGTAACGCAATTTTGCCATCCCCCAACATACTGTGCTTCTTTCTAATACATTCAAATCCAATAACTATGATGAACTCTTTCTTTTATTAATAGTTTTCACTTAATCATGCCAATACTATTGCATTTTCTCTTTATTAGTGTCTTATAGGCACTGCTAAAATAATATATAATAGGTTTAACAGTAATCTAATCTATTACCTTGGTGGTGTTTGCCAAAAATAAAGGAAAGTAAACCAATGAAATAAAAACAAAATGAGCAAGTGAACAAAAAAACCTATTTCATGCAGGTTATCACACAAGATTCAATCTGCTTTCTAATAGTATTCAGAGGTGAGGGTTAAAATAGCCAACTGCAACTGGAACTAATTAACTATGATTGTACCATTTTTTAAAAACTTCATTGTTATAATTATCTCACTGAGAAACCACACATCAGAGCTGGGAAAGCAGCAATAACTTCTGCTTCTCACATGCTTTCATGTTCATGCTTCTCTGCTCCAGAACTTTCGTTTGTTTTCTTAAACCCCCAGGGACATCCCTGTGACAGCCCTATTAAAATATTTGCAGCATTTGCTGTGAGGTCTGGTGAGAAGACAGAAATATAAAGTGCTCTTTCAAAATGTATTTATTGATATCTTTTTTTTTTATGACAAATGAATTCCTTGTTAACCGTTAAAGAAAAAGAAATGGAAAATATAGAAAATCAAAAAGAAAAAAGTAGAAATCATATATACACTATCCCAGCAAATATAACCACTGCTCACATTTTGTTGCCTATTCTAACAGCATTTATCTATTTATTTGTACAGAAATTTTAAAAACAAAGTTGAGATACTATGAGGCTGTTTTCTAACTTATTTTTCTCAATTAATAAGATAGTTTTCATGTCTATATTGATTCACAACATCATGTTAATGGTCACGTAGATACGAATTATGTTGTCAGCTTTCTATTGCTGTATACTTTGGCTATGTGAGCATTGCCAGTATTTGGTTCTGTTTCTTTCTGATTACTCTCCTAAAGTTTAGTAAAAGGATTGCTATTATACTTCCCTGTAAAATGAAGATGCTTTAACCCATTTGTTAGAGATTCAGTGGCTTAGTAACATGAATTATTCTACCCACTCTTAGAAGTTACTTTTTTAAAATAATGGGAAAGATGAAAAGCAGATATTGTTAAGAGTTTGGGGTCAAATGCTTTATTCATGTTTTCTGCCTCTTCATTTCCTATTGTCATACAAGCCAACCTCCCTGCCAGGACAGGGTCTTGAGACTTCTATGATGGTGCTCACTGTGGGGCATATAAGGGTTCAGGAAGTAAAGCCCCTTTCTATATACCATATACCACTGTGCATCTTCCTCTCTGTAGCTGTCTCTTCACACAGTGTGAAGTTCAACCACAAGCGTTTTTATATTGCCTATAATTAGATGGCTTGGGAGAAAAAAAAAAGCCTTATAACATAGAGTTTAGTTTCATTTCTGAGGATAACAGTAGAGAGGTTATATTTTTGAGACATCTTTTTTCTAATTTCTTTCTCTTTCTTCCCTCTCTCTCTCCTCCCAACCCCCTCTGTGTGTCTTTTTATATCTCAGCATAGTGCTTGCCAAGATACAAATGCTAGACAAGACAGTAGATTTGATTATTTCCCACAGTGGTTAATAACCTTCTGTGCAGAGGGTCAAGAAGGCACATGCACTCTTCGCTTGCCAAATAAGCCTGATCAATAATATCCATTTTTTTTGCTAGTTAATATGTTTCTTCTTTTTTTAAAAAAAATTCCTCCTTTTCCCTGTCTTACTTTCTCATTTTTCTGGTTTATTTATTTCCAAAGAGACTAATTGCATTCAGGTCCTTGTCTTTGGACCTGTTTCTTGGGAACCCAATCTAAGAGGACTCCTTGAGTCAAACTCTGCTCATTACTCTCCACTGCTGCAGAGTGAAACCCATGCTTCTTAGCTCTTATAGCTAAGATCTGTGATCTGCACCATTTCTCATGTCTGTGCCCAGCCCACCCTACAGTGCACCCATTTCTTTAAAAGTCAGATTGAGCCCCTGTTGTTCCCATGGCCTCCCTATATTACCAACCCTGCTCTTAGAGTTCTTCTATTACTTCAGCTTGGTAGGTCCTGTAACAGAGCTTTCCTCTCATAAGTTATGTGATTTGGGGCAAGTAACTTAACTTCATTTTGGTCTCCTTTTAGCCATTTGTTGTAATAGGAAAATAGTAGTCCCTACCTTATGACACATTTGTGACAATTAAAAGAATTCATAAAGCACTTATCAAAAGTGTCCTTCCTCTTAGGAAGTACTCAGAACATGTCAGCTTTTGTTACACCAGCCCCCAACCATCCAATCCTTTAAATTCAACTTCAACTTCAACCATCTCCTTCAGGAAACCTTCCTTGTGCCCTCAGCTGGATTTGAACATTCTCTCTCCTGACTTCACATTTTCTTGATATTTCTCCATTGGCATTCATTTTTACAAAGCATTTTAATTAAACATATTACTTTTCCTAACTAGACTATATAAGGCTAAAGAAGCTATCTCTTTCTTTCTGTTAGGGTTGGTTGAATAACACCCCTCTCCATAAAAATAGATGTCTACTTTCTTTCTTTCTTTCTTTTTTTTTTTTTTTTTTTTTTACTTTAAGTTCCAGGATGCATGTGCAGAACGTGCAGGTTTGTTACATAGGTATATGTGTGCCATGGTGATTTGCTATGCCTATCAACTGGTCACCTAGGTTCTAAGCTCCACATGCATTAGCTATTTGTCCTGATGCTCTCCCTCCCCTCGCCATCCCCATCCCCGCCGGTAGGCCGTGATGTGTGTTGTTCTCCTCCCTGTGTTCATGTATTTGGAATGTTCAACTCTCACTTATAAGTGAGAACATGCGGTGTTTGGTTTTCTGTTCCTGTGTTAGTTCACTGAAGATAATGGCTTCCAGCTTCATCCATGTCCCTGCAAAGGACATGATCTCATATCTTGTTGTGGCTGCATAGTATTCTGTGATGTATATTACAGGACACATATCCAGTCTGTCATAGATGGATATTTGGATTGGTTCCACATCTTTGCTATTGTGTGAATAGTGCTGTAATAAACATAAGTGTGAATGTATCTTTATTATAGAATTATTTATATTCCTTTGGGTATATACCCAGTAATGGGGTTGCTGGGTCAAATGGTATTTCTGGTTCTAGATCCTTGAGGAATCGCCACACTGTCTTCCACAATGATTGAACTAATTTACATTTCCACCGACAATGTAAAATTGTTCTTATTTCTCCACAGCCTCACCAGCATCTGCTGTTTCTTGACTTTTTAATAATTGCCATTCAGACTGGCATGAGATGGTATCGCATTATGGTTTTGATTTGCATTTCTCTAATGATTAGTGATGTTGAGCTTTTTAGAATATGTTTGTTGAATGCATAAATATCTTCTTTTGAGAAAGTGTCTGTTCATATCCTTTGCCCACTTTTTGATGGGGTTGTTTGTTTTATTCTTGTAAATTTGTTTAAGTTCCTTATAAATTCTGGAAATTAGACCTTTGTCAGATGGGTAGATTGCAAAAATTTTCTCCCATTCTGTAGGTTGCCTGTTCACTCTGATGATAATTTCTTTTGCTGTGCAGAAGCTCTTTAGCTTAGTTATATTTCATTTGTCAATTTTGGCTTTTGTTGCAATTGCTTTTGGTGTCTTTGTCATGAAGTCGTTGTCCATGTCTATGTCCTGAATGGTACTGCCTAGGTTTTCTTCTAAGGTTTATATGGCTTGGGGTTTTATATTTAGGTAAAAGATGTCTACTTTCTAATTCTCAGAAACTATGCTAGTTACCTTATATGAAAAAAATTGATTTTGCAGATACTATTAAAGATCTTGACATGGGAAGACCATTCTGGATTATCCAGTTTGATCTGGCATAATTATAAGCAACTTTATAAACAGGTGTCAGGAGATCAGAGTAAGTAGTAGGAGACTAATGACAAAAGCAAGAGATTGGAGAAATGCAGCCATAAACCAAGAAATGACAACAGCCTCTTGAAGTAAAAAGGCAAGAAATACTTTCTCCCCAAAGCCCCCAAAATGAACGGAACTTGCTGAAACCTTGACTTTATACGAGTAAAACTCATGTCAGACTTCTAGCCTGGAAGTATAAGAAAATTAATTTGTCTTATTTTAAGCCATTAAGTTTATGGTAATTTGTTATAGCAATGGCAAGAAACTAATACACCACTGATATGGTCTGGCTCTGTGTCCCCACTCAAATCTCATCTTGAGTTATAATCCCCATATGTTGTGGAGGGACCTCACGGGAGGTGATTGGATCACGGAGGTGGTTCCCCTATGCTGTTCTCATGATAGTGAGTGAGTTCTGAGGAGATCTGATAGTTTTATAAGGGGTTCCTCCCACTTTGCTCTGCACTTCTCTCTCCTGCCACCTTGTCAAGAAGGGTATATTTGCTTCCCCTTCCACCACGATTGTAAGTTTCCTCAGGCCTCCCCAGCCATGCAGAACTGTGAGTCAATTAAACCTCTTTCCTTTATAAATTAGTCTCAGGTATTTCTTTATAGCAGTGTGAAAACTGACTAATACAACCAAGCAATAGGATTTTTTGACTACTGTAGTTGTTAAATAAATATTTGATGAGTAAATTAATTGCAAACATATCAAAAGCAGTGAAAAGATAGAGTTCATTAAGTAATCATTTGAAAAGATCTTAATCAACTCTCAAGAAAAAAAAGAAACTACTAATTTCATAGCTATGTTATTCTCCCAGGAAATAAAACACTGAGTCTCATCTACCCATCTCTATCAGAGGTCAGGGTGGATTCTACTGTGGTTTATCATTCTAAAACAGGAAAAAATGAATAATGACAAAAGAGAAGACAGTGATGGGTTTTTTTTGGTTTTGTTTTAATGGCACCACAAATTCCTAGGCAAATGTGTCAGTTGAATTCTACGCTATGTTTATGAAACACAGCTCATCTCCAGGGAGCTAAAATCTGCGCAAGGAAATATTGTTGTCACTCGGCCACGTGACTCTTTCAATTACCTTCTCTGCTTCTGGATTTAAAAATCTGTTCATGGTACACACAACACACACACACACACACACACACACACTAATCACCATGTTAATATGGTAATTTGGAGAGTTACATGGAAGAGCTTCTGTCTTGTAATTGAAGAGCTGTTCCTCATTCATCTACATGGGAACCCAGCACTCTAAGTGCAAGACACTGCCAATTTCTGAGACTAGGCCTACTAGCATTGCAAAGTAAAAATTAGGACAACATTTCCATCAAAGAAATGGAGTAGACCCATTTTTTTTTTGTTTGCTCTTGCATTTCTCCTTCTTCTTCTATGTTTCTTGGGATTTGCTTTCCCTGGAGTCACACAATCAGTCAATCAATTTGTATATATCAAGTGACTGACTGAATGCCTACTAGCTACCTCTTACCCAGCACTGCTCATATAAGCAGAAAAATCTGCCATGATATGCATTAAGGGCCTGGACAGGTCAGTTCTCAAGCTTATGGTAAGAATGAAAATACTTAAGGATGGAAACTATGTCTTGAATGCTGCTCTATTGCTCAAATAATATCTAAAGACTTCAACATTTCCTTTCCTAAGCATTAAAGTCCATAAGATGCTGTCCAGATGACCAGGGTTCTCCACTGGTTCAGGCCAAATTCACAAATTGCACTGTTTCAATGTTTTAGGCAAAGTTCTTCTTTCTCACTAAATGTAAACATCTCTTGGGAAAATCTATGGGCTGAGAGTCCAAAAACCCACATTAGAATGGCTATTATCAAAAAGATAAAAGACAACAAGTGTTGGCAAGGATGTGGAGAAAAGATAACCCTTGCACACTGTTGGTAGGAATGAAAATTAGTACAGCCGTTATGGAAAACAGGACGGAGGTTTCTCAAAACTAAATATAGAGTTAGAATTATCATATGATCTAGCAATCTCACTTCTGGGTATATATCCAAAAAAATTGAAATCAGTATGTTGAAGCAATATCTGCACTTCTGTGTTCATTGTAGCATTATTAACAATAGGCAACAAATGGTATAAACTGAAGTGTCTATCAACAGATAAATGGACAAAAAAATGCTTATGTACACAATAGAATACCACTTGCCTTTAGAAAGTAGAAAATGTTGTCATTTGCAAGAACATGCATGAACCTGAAGGACATTATTTAAGTGAAAATAAATCAGGCACACAAAGACAAATATTGCATGATCTCATTTATGTGTAGAACCTAAAAATATAAAAGCAGAGAATAGAATGTTGGTTACTGGAGGCTTGGGTTTGACAGGAAGTGAGGAGGTGGAACAGGGAATGGAAAAATTTTGACCAAAGAATACAAAGTTTCAGTTAGACAGGAGGAGTAAGTTCTCAAAATCTATTGCATAGTATGATGATGATTATTATTAGCCATAGTTAGTAATGTATATTTCAACATTGCTAAAAAGATAGATTCTAAGTATTCTCACTACAAAAAAATAGTAAGTATATGAGGAGATGGATATGTTAGCTTGATATAATTTGTGCCACAATGTGTACATGAATGAAAATATTACATTGTACCCTAGAAATACAATTATTATTCATCAATTACAAATAAAAGTTTAAATGTAAAAAAATCCACATTTTTAAACTAACTCTGTGGTCATTCATAAGGATGCTTTGGGTTAACATTAGAAAACCTAATGTCAACTGGCTTAAACAGTGAACACCTTTATCATGTGAAGAGTTTGCCAGTTCAAGGATCATTAAGCAGAAGCTTAGCAGCAGCATCCCAGCATGTGCTTCTTCCATCTATGCTTTTTCAGCTTCATAGTGTTTGTCTTGTACATCAAGCTGCCCTCCCTCATGGTCAGAAATTATTTACTACAGTTCCAGTGTCATACTCATATGACAACATCTCACCAAGGGTGCATAACTGTCTCTTCTCATGTGTTTCTTTTTAAGAGGAAAGGCATTTTACCAGAGACTCCACCAGAAGATCTACCCTCACCCTCCTTTGGTCAGTCACATGGGTAGCCTAAAACCAATCACAAGAGGAAAGGAAAAAGAGAAAGAAAAGAAAAAAAATGGCTTAAGTTAATGTAAGCAATATGTATTCCCTAAGTCATATGTGAATGAGTTAACACCCAAGTCTGGCTTTAGGGTAGGTAAATAACAGTGTTTATTACACTACACTTTGGATTAGTTGTATAAATCTATATAAGGCTCTTAGGTAAATTAAAATATATATATGTATAATGGAAGCGTAATTGCTATCTTTTAATTTTAGTGTCACTGAGGAAATCTAATTGGCCTGGTGTTTACAATGTATCTGCTAATTGTGAGTCACTGATATAGATCTGCAAAGCCTTCAAAGATGACTGAAACAGTTTCTGCTATAGTTTTACATCCTTTTGGACAATCTGAAAGAAATGAAAAAAATAGCTATAAAACAAGCACATTATATAAAGCCACAGAAGAAAGTTAAAGATTTAATTTGGCCTAAGTTGAGGAAGACATCTAATTTAGGTAAGAGAAGAGTAAAGGAGTCAAGATACGCTTCATAGATGAAGTGGCATTTTAGACAGACCTGGAAGGTTTGGTCGAATTCAACAGATGAAGACGATGAGGCCTAGCTCCTCAGAGGGAGGAAGGGCATGAGGGAGATGGACAGTTGTTGTAGCTGCCTTTTAGCTTTGGTCATTTTTTTCTGAGGAAGAATACCCCAATTGTTATCTGTAGAGGCATCTGGCCTACCTTTTCATGCTTTTTCCGTCTAGATGACTTCATACACACCCTAGCCCCTGGAGTGTGTGTAATCATAGGCACATAATTTAGGCTCATCATTCTATTTTCCTGTCCATAATAGTTGGTTCAGGTCGAATCAGAGCTATCATCGAGGATCTTTTTTGAATTACTGAGAAAATAGACATCTTTGCCACTGGATTTGAAATGGGGATTATGCAGGCCTAAAGAATCTACAGACATTTTGCCATCACATAGATCTGAGACTGAGTCAACAACTAGTTAGAAGGTGGAGATGCTGAGACCTGGCAATATCATATGAGCCCTCAATTTAACCACATGAAGTAAACCAGCATTAATCTCTTGCATTACTTGGGTCAGTAAATTTGTTCTGCCAGCCAAGATTTTTTCTTGTTTTCTGTAGCTGAAAGTCAGACAATATAGAATGACTCAATGGCTCCTCTTGTTTAGTTGGGATGACTAAAGAAAGCTTGACTATTTCTGAGAAGTTTAGTATTAACAATCCATAAGAGAGGATAGAAGTTGAAAGAACAGGCAGGCCCTACCATTAATAAAAACATAGCTTTTCTTGGATGGGCACCTTCCCTTAGCAGATAATACTTGTGGTCTACTGAGGAAGGTTACTGGAATTTATGTATTGGTAGCTGGTACTTTTTGGTAATGCAAGCTGACTGTTGCCAACAGAACTAAGGGCTCTGAATACAAATCTCCCAGTGAAACACTTTAAAAATAGGTTTCTTGTGTTAAATAACTTTATGAATCAGTGCAAATGCTAGTCTCCTTCTTGAAGAACCATAATGAGCACACACACTTTAAATATAATGAGAAATCTTGCTATATACACTTTAATTAACTTAAATAGAACCTGGAAAAGATTAATGCTGGAAGCCTTTTAATAAGGAATATATAATAATATTCTCAGGAATTAGTACACAGGATAAGTTCTTGCAAGATCAAATCTACACCTATTGTACAGAGTAAAGACTCAGATATAAAAACAATGCATCTGTGCTTCGTTGTATGAAATGGTTTTATTTCAACTGGGGTTGCCACCGGAAAAAAAATAAAACATGCTTTAAGAAAATTTGGGATATTTTTTGGCTCCCTATCCTACTTCCTTAGCTTTCATAGAAGCAGTGCCTGTTAGAAGGGGACAGGATCTGAGCATCATCTATTTAATGCGAAATGAGAAAACAATACACAAGTAAGGGTCAGTGATTTGTCCAAAGTCCCCAACTTGAGTCCTTGGCAGAGCCAGAAATAGGAGTCTGACCTCCTGACTCTGGCCAGGGAGAATATCATGTAGCGGTTTGTTGCTAAAAGCCTTGGAATTAGGCTGTTCATATTTCAATCCCAAGCTCTGTGATCTTAGATGTGTAATTTATTCTTCATAAGCCTCAGTCAACTCATTTGTAGACTGAGGTTGATAATAATTGTACCTTGGTAATAGGGTCATTGTATGAAGTAAATGGCACAATAACATGTGAAAGCACCTTTCCAAATGCCTGTCTTATGCCAGGTACTATCAGGCATTTTGCCCAATTACTGCCTTATATCTGGGACTATCCCTAGAAGGGCTCCACATAAGTTTGAATCTCTGATGTTGCTGTCTTGAAATTTTTGATAATTTTGAACAAAAGATTTTGCATTTAAAATTTTTACCCCTTAAATTATTTATCTGGTCCTGCTAGCCTAATGTTTGTCACATAGTAGGTGTTCCACAAATATTAGCATAGATCAGAGGATAGATTATTAACATGCTCTTATTATCCTTTGGCAACATAAATAACTCTTTAATGCTTATTACCTCCATCTTTTTTATGAGATTTAAAACCTCTTTAAAGGCTTTTGTAATTTATTACAATATTAGTGAGTTTAGTGATTTAATCATCATTCCAATTAGTTGGTGTGATTATATAAGGCTTTCCAATTATAGTGAGATTTAATGTTTAACAACCTACCATACCCCTAGGAGATGAGTTGAGAAGAAAATCAGACTCTCCATTACATAAAACCATCCTCTTGTGCAAGGGCAGGAAACTTCTACTTGGCATATAGAAGATACACAGCCTGTTGAGAGGGTGGCTGTAATTTCTCTTTGATTATATGGTGACTTTTTGCTAATCTGGCTATAAATATCTAGTGAGACTAGCCCAAATTTACCTATCCCATCACTTCTCAAAGTACATTTTGAAAAGTATGTCCCATTTAAAACAAAATGAAACAAAGCAAAAACAACAAACCAACAAATAAAACTTATCTAATAAAAGGTACTTGTAATCAAATAATTTGGGGAAGATTTCCCTATACTATTCCGTACATAGAGAGTCTCATTGTACATGAATATATAAAAGGCTGTGCTATGGGCCACAACCACTTAATTTTCACTTAATACACACTAAACATATTATTTAATTCTGGATTTTTTTCAATTAAAACCTATTAATAGAAGAAACACACCCAGAATAGTGGAGTAAGGACTGCCAAAAAATCTACTCCACCATAATAGCAATGAGAACATTGGCAAAATTTATAAAAATCTGCTTTTTCAGAACTCTGGAAATTAACTTAAGGCTCACAAAACTTTCAGAAGCCCTCATTCAAGAAAAATGACTAAATCTCAGCAAGAACAATAATCTTTGCAATGTCTTAATTTGTCTTACTTCCCTGCCCCTCACTCCAGGTTTGAGATTAGCCGGAAAACCAGTAGCCTCAGAACCATGTAATCTGTGAAAACCAGTAATCTGACATTCATAGGATGGGTCAGAATGAGTTTGGTGAGCTCCTTTTATTAAAAAAAAAAATTGTCATCACCAGAGAATTGTCACTGACATTTCTGGGAGCTCATTGGAAAAATACCATTCACAAAGTTTGTTTTATTTATCCTAAATGAGAGCTAACTCACAGAGGAAATTCTTATCCCCATGTGCTTGTTTAAAATTACCACTAGCAACTATTTAACATTTTAGTTACTTGAATTGATGAAGGAGTTGGGTCAAACAAAAAGCTAGATAATAAACTTAAGCTAAAAATCTGGAGAATAAAATGACTACAGGGAGTTTTAAAAAGCTCTTATAGAGAAAAAAACCCCGGAAGGCCACAGATATATAGAGAGTTGGGCTCATGCCTAGGAAAAACTTGAGAAGGCTTTTATCTTTCACCTATGGATAATCTTGAGGCTTTGTACAAGAAAGAAGTGAAGACTAATGAAGCTGTGTAAACTACTGCATAGTGTTGAAGATATGCCCCAATACACAGAAAGCTTCTCAGCAAAGTATGGTACAAAATTTAATAAAATTATTTAATAATTAGCAGACCACTAAACTTACCAAACAAAGACTTCAATGGCTATACATGACAAAGCATGCAGACTTTACAGAATCAGTCCAGGATCATTATTAACCTAATACATAGATATAAGAACAATAGACACTAAGGAAGAAATCTGATTCCACAGTTGTCACATTTAACAAAAAATATAAAACATACCAAAAAGCATACTGTATGAATAGAAAAAAATCAGCAAAAATAAATTATTCCTGATGATTCTCCAACACTGAAGTTACTAGAAGAAAATTTTAACCAGCATATGCATTTTTTCAAAGAACTAAAAAAGTCTACAAAATTAAAAAGAAAATATGAAAGTGTGACCTATTAGAGAAAATAAATATACAGATTGAAATAATATTAAAATAAAATAACCAAAGGGAAATTCTGCAGAACAAAGGTACAATATTAGACATAAAAAATTCACTAGAAGATTTCAACAGAAGATATGACCTGACAAAATAAATAATCAGAAAATTTGAAAATAGGTCACTTCAGACTATTCAGTCTGAGGAAAAAGATTATTCTTGTTTGAGAAACAGGAAGCAAAAGGAATGAAGGAAATGAAGACAACCTCAGAATCCTGTGGGATGTCATCAAGCATACTAACACATGCATAACAGGAGATCCGGAAGAATAGGTTAGAGAGAAATGGGGGAAAGTACATAAAAATAATAATGACCCCAAATTATCAAATGTGATGAAAAACATTAATCTGAATATTCAATAAATTTAGTTGGATAAACAGAGATTCAACCTAGATACATCTTAATTAAATTCTTGCTATTCAAAGACAAAGAAGAAGTACTAAAAGCAACAATAGAAACATGACTCATAAAACACAAAATGTCTTCAGTAAAATTAACAGCTGACTTCTTATCAGAAACTATGGAAGACAGAGAACACAATGTGCTGACAAAAACTATTGTCAACCAATAATTCTATATCCAGTGAAACAAGCATTCAAAAATGGCATTCCCAAAAAATAAAAAATGAAGAGGATTCATCACCAGTAAAACCATTATACAAAAACTATTTCAAAAGAGTCCTTTAGGCTGACATATAATTATAGTAGAAAGTAACTCTAATCAACACAAAGAAATAAATAGTACCAGTAAAGATACTAGTAACTGCATAGACAAATATAAAACATTATGTATAATTTAGTTTGTTACATTTTTCATCATTATCTGATTTTAAAAATTTAAACTTAACAAAACAATAGTTATATATGTGTGTTAATGGATTATAATGAATAAAGAGATGATATATATAAATAATACAGCAAAGTGGGGAAATGGGTATGAACCTATAATGAGACAACATTTTTTTGTATACTATTGAAATTAAGTTGGCATTAATAATACAAATGACATTATTTGAAATTAAGATGTTAATTTTAACCATAGGGCAAAAACAAAAACAGTTTGAAATATAGTAAAATAAATAAAAAGTGGATTAAAATGGTGTACTAGATAATCTCTTTTTAACAACATAAAAGGCAGCAATAGAGGGGAAAACAACAAAAGGTATAAAAAATAGTAAAAAACAAGTAACAAAATGACAATTGTAGAGCCCACATTAGCATTAATTACATTAAGTATAAATGAATAAAACACTTCATTCAAGAAGCAGATTCAACCTTGCTGTGTATGGGGACACACATTAACTCAAAGCCACAAATAAGTTGAATGTACAATAATGAAAAGTAATGTACTATGCTGACCAAAGAAAATTAGAGAGGCTTTAGTATAATTGGCATAAATAGATATTAAATAAAATATTGCTAAATAAAAAAGGACACTTTTTAATGATAAAGGGGCAAATCTATCAGGAAAACTTAAACACTCATATATGCACTATTAAAAGAGTCTCAAAATTAATGAAATAAAAATCGGCATAATATGATGGGCAAGGAAAATTCAACAATAGTTTTAGAAACTAATATTCAACTTAGAATCATCTATTTCAATTTCAAACGTTTTTATTGCTGTATCTTTATGTTCATTGATTCTTCCCTTAGTGTGTCCAGTCTACTGGTGAGCCCATCAATGGCGTTCTTTATTTATTTTAGTGTTTCTGACTTCTAGCATTCATTTCTGCTTTTCTTTTAGAGTTTTTTCTCTCTGCTTCTATTACCCATATATTCTTTTATGTTGCCCACTTTTTTCTTTGCAGCAATAAGCATATTAATTACAGTTATTTAAATTCTCAATCTGATAAGTTCTACATCTCTGCTATATCTGAGTCTTATTTTTTTACTTGCTTTATCTCTTGAGATTATATTCAATGCCTTTTAGTATGTCTTGCAACTTTATGTTGAGAGCTAGAAATGATGTATTAGGTAATAGAAATGGAGGTAAATAGGCCCATAGTATGAGGATTTATGTTTATCTGGCTAGGATTTACATTGTGTTCATTGTTTGCTATAGCAGTTGGTGGCTGAGGCTTCAATTTCCTCTGGCATCCTTATTTTTGTCTCCTCTGTTATTTCTGAGTTTCCCTAGGAAATGTTTATTCAAGTCTTATATTTGCAGTTCATTTTGTTACAATCCTCTGTTGTTACGCAAGAGAATTGTTGATGTGGTGGTAAGGTGTTGGAGAATGTACGAGTCAGTTTTTATGCTGCTGATAAAAACATACCTGAGACTGGGCAATTTACAAAAGAAAGAGGACTATTGGGCTTACAGTTCCACCTGGCTGGGGAGGCCTCACAATCATGGCAGAAGGTGAAAGGCATATCTTATGTGGTGGCAGACAAGATAAGAGATCTTGTGCAGGGAAACTCCCCTTTTTAAAACCATCAGATCTCGTGAGACTCATTCACTACCACAAGAACAATGCAGGAAACACCCACCCCCATAATTCAATCACCTCCCACAGGGTTCCTCCCATGACATGTGGGAATTGTGGGAGATAAAATTCAAGATGAGATTTGGGTGGGGACACAACCAAACCATATCATGCCACTCCTGGCCCCTCCCAAATGTCATGTCCTCACATTTCAAAACCAATCAT